>NT_187609.1:0-63982 GCF_000001405.40 Homo sapiens
GTATGGTGGCGCACGCCTCTAATCCCTGCTACTCGGGAGGCTGAGGCAGGGGAATCCTTGAACCAGGGAGGAGGAGGTTGCAGTGAGCAAAGACTGCACCACTGCACTCCAGCCTGGGCAAAAGGGCGAGACTCTGTCTCAAAAAACAAACAAACGAACAAACAAAAAACCCTTCCCACTGCACCTTGACTCAAATCCAGACTCCTTGCGGCAGCGTGCCATGCCCAGCTGACCTGGCCTCTGCCCTGAGAACCGCTCTCCGGTACCCTGGCTGCATTTCCTCAGCCTGGGCCTCGGGCCTTTGCAGATGCAGAGCCTCTTTCTCGAGCATCCCCGTCTTCCCAGGACAGGCTCTCCTCAGGTCTCCAGTAGAGGCCTTTCCTGCCACCCTGCCTCACGCAGTCGTGCCTCTGAACTCCCCTGGGGACACTGCTAGTTGCCTGCTGTGTTGTCTTTCTCCTTCATGACATGGTAGTTCGTCAGGACAGAGCCACGCCCTCACTGCACCCCACAGTGACCACGCAGTTCAGGGCCTCACAGGCAGCAGCTGCCGGGTATGTGCTCAGTAAATGAATACATGAGCCCTTTTAAAAGCGATCTAATTTGTAAACTGAGGATAATATTGCTACAATTAGCCTTTGGGAGACACAGAATTTTAGTTAACAGCTAATTTTACATTTATAACATGCACTGAAATTATGGGAACAAGTGTGATTTCTATCTTGCTATTGTAGACAAATGAAGAAGTTTCCAGGGAGCTCAGTGATGAGGTTCCCATGATTTCCCATGATTTTTTTTTTTTTTTTTTTTGAGACAGGATCTTGCTCTGTTGCCCAGGCTGGAGTGCAATGGCGCGATCTTGGCTCACTGCAACCTCTGCATCCCGGGTTCAAGTGATTCTCCTGCCTCAGCCTCCCAAGTAGCTGGAATTACAGGGGCACCACCACCAAGCTCGGCTAATTTTTGTTTTTTGTTTGTTTGTTTTTGTTTTTGTTTTTAAGTAGAGACAGGGTTTCACCATGTTGGTCAGGCTGGTCTCCAACTCCTGACCTCAGGTGATCTTCCCGCCTCGGCCTCCCAAAGCACTGGGGTGACCGGCATGAGCCACTGCACCCAGCAGACATCTGCACTTTTTTTTTTTTTTCTGTCGCGGGGGCTGAAGTGCAGTGGCGTGATTTCGGCTCACTGCAACCTCTGCTTCCTGGGTTCAAGCAATTCTCCAGTCTCAGCCTCCCGAGTAGCTGGGATTACAGGCGCCCGCCACCACGCCTGGCTAATTTTTGTATTTTTTGTAGAGATGGGGTTTCACCATGTTGGCCAGGCTGGTCTCATCGGCCTCCCAAAGCTGAGGTAATCCCAAAGGATTACAGGGGTGAGCCACCGAGCCCGGCCTTTTTTTTTTTTTTTTTTTTTTTTGTGAGATGGAGTCTCGCTCTGTCTCCCAGGCTGGAGTGCAGTGGCGAGATCTCGGTTCACCGCAACCTCCGCCTCCCGGTTCAAGCGATTTTCCTGCCTCAACCTCCCTAAGTAGCTGGGATTACAGGCGCGCGCCACCACGCCCGGCTAATTTTGTATTTTTAGGAGCGACGGGGTTTCTCCACGTTGGTCAGGCTGGTCTCGAACTTCTGACCTCAGGTGATCCGCCCACCTCGGCCTCCCAAAGTGCTGGGAAAACAGGCGTGAGCCACCACTGCACTTTTTAACTGACAGGTCGGGGCTTGGAAAACTCAAAGTAGGACCCACGTGTCAGCCGCTCTCAGCTCCGGGAGGAGCTTTCCCGCGTGTCCTCCTCCGGCACCGGCCGCGAGAAGCCCCGGGAGGGGCAAAGCTCGGGGGCCGCGGGAGGCGCTGGGAGGGCGGGCGGCGCCACAAGACAACCTGCCCCCGCCAACCCCGCGGTGAGCCGAGGATGCGACCAGGACCGGACTCCGCGTGGGGCGCAGGCACGTACCCCACACGCTGCGCGGCTCCGCCCGCTCCCCTCCCGGCACGCGCGCGCCCGCCGCTCCCTCAGGGCCTCCGCCAGCCGAACGCCGGGCCCTGACCCACGCGGGCTCCCTTCCTCGGACGCCGCCCCACAGCTGGAGGCCTGGCCCGCGTCGCCACCTGGCCGTCCACGCCGCTGCTTACCCGAGGCTCGCCCGGCCGGCTGCTCCCCGGGCCTGCACAGCTGCCGCCGCGGCCTCGCGGACCTGGCCCGCCCGACCCCCGGGTCGCCCGCGCTTCGCGGCTTCTCCACAGGACGCTCGGGCCACAGCCTCGTGCAGGTGCGACGGCCGCGCGACCGTTAGCGCGAGGCCCCGCCCCCGTCCTCAGCGACTCCGCCCCCACCGCTCACTGACTCCGCCCCCACGGCTCACTGGCTCCGCCCCCACCGCTCACTGGCTCCGCCCCCAACGCGCTCAGACTCAGCCCTCGGGGGAGGGGAGGGGGAGCCCGGTTCCCGTTTCTTCCTTCTTGGGAGTTAGAGGGACAAGACAGCCGCAGGCGCGGGGAGGGGTCTCCGTGCGCTCTCACAGCCGCGTGTGTCTCTGTGGTCGCTGGATTCCAAAAGACGGTGCGCCGGAAAAAAATAAACATATCTCTCTATCTATAATATTATGAAGGGCGGGCGCGGTGGCTCACGCGTGTAATCCCAGCACTTTGGGAGGCAGAGACGGGCGGATCACCTGAGCTCAGGAGTTCAAGACCAGCCTGGCCAACATGGTGAAACCCCGTCTTTACTAAAAATACGAAAGAAATTAGCCAGGCGTGGTGGTGAGTTCCTGGTTGTCTTGTGGCGCCGCCCGCCCACCCGAGTAGTCCCAGCTACTCAGGAGGCTGAGGTATGAAAATCGCTTGAACCCGGGAGAGGTCGCTTGAACCCAGGAGAGGAAGGTTGCAGTGAGCCGAGACTGTACTACTGCACTCCAGCCTGGGCAACAGAGTGAGACTCTGTCTCCAAAAAAAAAAAAGAAAAAATGAGCCAGGCACGATGATGCATGCCTGTAGTCCCAGCTACTGGGGAAGCTGAGGGGGGAGAATCGCTTGAGCCCAGGAGTTCAAGGCTGTGGTGAGCTATGATGGCGCTACTGCACTCCAGCCTGGGCAAGAGTAAGACCCTGTCTCTACAAAATTAATTAATTAATTAATTAATATATCTACATCTAATGATAGATTTGGTATGTAGTACATCAAGAAAATACCCATAGATGGTCTGGGCGCGGTGGCTCACGCCTGTAATCCCAGCACTTTGGGAGGCCGAGGCGGGCGGATCACGAGGTCAGGAGATGGAGACCATCCTGACTAACAAGATGAAACCCCATCTCTACTAAAAATACAAAAAATTAGCTGGGCGTGGTGGCGGGCGCCTGTAGTCGCAGCTACTCCGGAGGCTGAGGCAGGAGAATGGCGTGAACCCGGGAGGCGGAGCTGGCAGTGAGCTGAGACCGCGCCACTGCACTCCAGCCTGGGCGACAGAGCGAGACTCCGTCTCAAAAGAAAAGAAAAAAGAAAAAGAAAGAAAAAACCCTAGATGTGTATATCTATGTATGAAAAAAATATATATAATTAGATGTGCTAAGGATTGGACTTAGGTGAATCTGACAAAAATTTTCTCAGCTCTTCATGTTTTTAATTACTTCCATTTAGAAATCTTTTTAGTTTAATGACTTATACTAATTTTTGTTAACAGAGTACCAACCCAGGGCAAGTAAGATCCAAAAACTAAGTCCATTAAATTTGTCACCTACTACTGTCCACATGTAGCATTATTTAAGTTTCTCTTTAAAAAGAGAAGAACAACTTTGGTGCATATAACACACACATATTATAAAAGAAAAATACCACTGTAGAACCAAGTTTTATGTTATTATTAAAATACAGTTTTTCTTTTCCTCATTTTTTTTTAATTTCCCAAATAATACTGGGAAGCAAAATAAAGTACCTGCATTTCACCATTTCAAATATAATGGGAAGAGTTGGGTTTTTAAATTGTCCCTATTCCTTTCCACTCTCTGCCTTTAAAAGAAGATATTTTTGGCCGGGGTTGGTGGCTCATGCCTGTAATCCCAGCACTTTGGGAGGCCGAGGAGGGCAGATTGCCTGAGCTCAGGCGTTCGAGGCCAGACTGGCCCAACGTGGTGAAACCCCGTCTCTACTAAAAATACAAAAATTAGCCAGGCATGGTGGCGGGAGCCTGTAATCCCAGCTACTCGGGAGGCTGACGCAGGAGAATCGCTTAAACCTGGGAGGCAAAGTTTGCAGTGAGCCAAGATTACACCACTGCACTCCAGCCTGGGTGACAGATGGAGACTCCATCTCAAAAAAAAAAAAAAAAAAAACCTATCTTTATCTTTCCAAAAGAATAAACTAGTGGCCGGGGGCAGTGGCTCACGTCTGTAATCCCAGCACTTTGGGAGGCCAAGGTGGGCGGATTGCCTGAGCTCAGGAGTTGGCCACCAGCCTGGGCAACACGGTGAAACCCCGTCTCTACTAAAACACAAAAAATTAGCCAGGCGTGGTGGCATGCGCCTTTAGTCCCAGCTACTCGGGAGGCTGAGGCAGGAGAATTGCTTGAACCCAGGAGGTGGAGGTTGCATTGAACCAAGATCGGGCCACTGCACTCCAGCCTGGGCAACAGAGAGAGACTCTGTCTCAAAAAAAAAAAACACAAAATAACAAAATAAAATAAACTAGCATTTTAAGTCCATCTTAAAGGAGAGGAAAAAATATAAAAATAGTTTTCATGCATTTTTCATTTGAGCCTCAGTGAAGCAATAATATTCTAAAATTTTTTAAATTTTGTCACGTTTTAGTAAATTAATTTTTGCAGAAAGCTACATAAGGTTAAGCAAACAGTGTCAGCCTTGCCAGGACACAACAGGCTTCTCATAAGCCACGACGCTTCAAAATACAAGCCTAAAAGAGTGGAATTGCTTCACGCTCGTGAAATTAAGTCTCCCTTGTTGTGTACGGAATTTGTTTCTTCCATTTTTTATAGCAGTTCTGTGAAATTGGCTTGCTCTTAACAATAGGATTGACTTGTCAATATATTTTGGATGTACACGAACAGAAATAAGGACTAGAAATGCTAGCTTGCCCTTGCCGCTTGATGCAGAAGTCAAGGGTGAGCGAACAAGGGTCAGAGCTGAAATAGCTCACATGTCTGGCTAAAGAAACGGTAGTTGGCTACATGGTCAGCTCCCCAGAGCATGCCAGCTGTCAAAACATCTAGGAGCTGTCACAAAGGAGTGACAGGCAAAATATATAGTCATAAACTTTACACGTTCTAATCAGTAGAAACGTTGACAGTTATTTTAATGAATTACAAGATAGAAATTCATTAAAAATTGACAGTTATTTTAATGAATTACAAGATAAGCTTTTATTTATTTAACAAAACTATAACTTTTCCAACATTGATCCCGTGACTATGGTCTTCCTCCCAGGAGCTGAAATACTAATAGATCAGTTACTGGCATAATTAGTCTCACCCCCACTCGTCACTCCATCAAAGGACTGATCATCTTTTTTGTTTTTCTCCCAAAACAGGGTCTCACTCTGTCACCCAGGCTGGAGTGCAGTGGCACGATCACAGTTCACTGCAGCCTCGACCTCCCTGGGCTCAGGTGATCCTCCCACCTCAGCCTCCCGTGGGACCGTAGGTGCACACCACCACGCCGGCTAAGTTTTGTATTTTTTGTAGAGATGGGGTCTCGCTATATTGCCCAAGCTGGTCTTGAACTCCTGGACTCAAGCAATCTTCCTGCCTCAGCCTCCCAAAGCACTGGGATTATAGGCATGAACCACTGTGCCTGGCCTAATCATGTTTTAAATAGATTGTAGGCCAGGCGTGGTGGCTCACCCCTGTAATCCTAGCATTTTGACAGACTGAGGCGGGTGGATCACCTGAGGTCAGGAGTTCGAGACCAGCCTGGCCAAGATGGTGAAACCCCATCTCTACTAAAAATACAAAAATTAGCCGGCATGGTGGCACATGCCTGTAATCCCAGCTACTTGGGAGGCTGAGGCAGGAGAATCACTTGAACCCGAGAGGCGGAGGTTGCACTGAGCCAAGATTGCGCCATTGCACTGCAGCCTGGGCAACAAGAGTGAAACTCCATCTCAGAAAAAATAATAATAATAAATAAATAAATAAATAGGTTGTAGATACACTAACATTTACAGATTTTTTGTAAACTTTTGCAGAAGTTTATGTAGAGAAGAGGAGTGAGGTAACCTGCAAAAGGGACTGGAAGAACTAGATGTGGAAATCGTGTTTAGGGCCAAAAAGAAGCAATTTAAGAGCTACTGGAGGCCGGGCGTGGTGGCTCACACCTATAATCCCAGCACTTTGGGAGGCCAATGTGGGCGGATCACCTGAGGTCAGGAGCTGGATACCTACCTGGGCAACGTGGCGAAACCCCGTCTCTACTGAAAACACAAAAATGTATTGTGGTGGCAAGTGCCCGTAATCCCAGTTACTCGAGAGGCTGAAGCAGGAGAATTGCTTGAACCTGGGAGGTGGAGGTTGCAGTGAGCCGAGATCGCGCCACTGCGCTCCAGCCATTTGCAGCATTGCCAAGTATGTAAAGCTCAGCTCCTAAGCTCTTTTAAGACTCCGTCTCAAAAAAATAAATAAATAAATAAAAATTTTAAAAAAGGTTGAACGGTGAATTGAAACTGGAACTGAAAGCCTCAGGACAAGGTGAGAGGTGCTGAGCTGAAGTGAGTAACGTGCTGGGCTTGAAATAACTCAGCATCCGTAGTCCGTGCCCAGGGACCTGGAGTGGTTCCTGCGTGCTGCATGTCTGGCACCCCGTACTAGAGGGAGCAGAAGAGGGCATGAGCACACAAGGCACAGGCTTTGACCTTTGGAAGCCTATCCCATGGGAAATTTACTGAGGTGACAACAGAAGGAAGGGCCCATGTCTTGGGAGTGCTGTCATGGCCATGTTTCAGCACCATTTATATTAAACACACACACACACACACACACACACACACACACACACACACACACATATATATATTTTTTTTTTTTTTTTGAGATAGAGTCTCGCTCTGTCACAAAGGCTGGAGTGCAGTGGCACAATCCTGACTCACTGCAACCTCCACCTCCCGGGTTCCAGCGATTCTCCTGTCTTGGCCTTCCAAGTAGCTGGGATTACAGGTGCGCGCCACCACACCCAGCTAATTTTTGTATTTTCAGCAGAGACAGGGTTTCACCACGTTGGCCAGGCTGCTCTTGAACTCCTGATCTCAAATAATCTGCCCTCCTCAGCCTCCCAAAGTGCTGGGATTACAGGCATAAGCCACCGCGTTCAGCCATAAACACATATAATTTTTTAAACCCTCCTAAATCATTGCAGCGTACCTTTGCCAGCTATGTGGCCATTAACAACATCTCTGACTGAGCTGTTCCAGCCCCACCTTGCCAGCCGTCTGCAGCATTGCCAAGTATCTAAAGTTCAGCTCCTAGGCTCACCCCAAGCCAGCTCAGAACCTTCCAATTCTATGGAAAACACCTGGTAACTGAAGCTCAGCGTCTCAAAGGCAGCCTTGAATCCTCCCTTCTCCTCCACTGTCATCATCAGGAGCCAGGTTCTGTTTTTCCTTAGCACCTGCCCTTGTCTCTCCACGTCTGTTGCTGCCACCCTCCTGCGGCTCTGGCAGTGTTGTCAGGGGATGGAGCAGCACGCTGCAGGGGCTCTCATCTCCCCTGCCCCAGCCCATCTCATGCCCTCAGAGGGATGAATCTTACCACATGACGCTTCTCAGGGCTGCACCACAGCTTTCCCTAGGCGGAAACCTCCAATGCTATCTATCACAGGGGCACAAATTCTTCTGTAAGTTGCTATATGTAAAGGGCTTTGTGGGCCAGACAGTATCTGTTGCAATGAACCAACTCTACTCTACTTTTATTTATTTTATTTTATGTATTTATGTATGTATTTATTTATTTGTGTTTTGAGACAGGGTCTTGCTCTGTCACCCAGGCTGGAGTCCAGTGATGTAATCACAGCTCACTGCGACCTGAAACTCCCAGGTTCAAGTGATCCTCCCACGTCAGCCTCCCGAGTAGCTGGGACTACGGGCGTGCCCCCACCACACCCAGCTAATTTACTGTATTTTTTGTAGAGACAGGATCTCCCTAGGTTCCCCAGGCTGGTCTCGAACTCCTGGGCTGAAGCGATCCTCCCACCTCTGCCTCCCAAAGTGCTGGTGTTATAGGCGTGAGCCACCGCACCCGGCCAGGCTTTGTTCTTTATGGGGCTTATTTACATGGTTAAGGGTTTGCTCAGAGCTTGAGAACCTATTTATATTGTTCTCATATTTCGCAAATGTTTAAGGAAGCAAGAGAAAACTGCGAGTGCAAAAGACCAATTTCAGTTTTTAAAATTATCACTCTGAGAAAAGGACAATAGATATTTCTTAACCTGCTTAATTTCAGTGTTTATTAATCAGAGTGCTTTTATCTTAGCAGTGTTATTGCGCAGTTGTCTGAAATGAGAAAATAAATGGGGTTTAGGAGGAGTTAACATGCATGGTAGAAACTAAAAGTCAGGCTGTCTGGTCAAAAGTCTCAGCCTTGCCACTAATTAGCTGTGTCACTCAAGCATCTGAACTTCATTTTCCTTATCTGTCAAAAATGAAAAGTTTGGACAGATCCAGTGGGACGAAGATGAACACAAAATACGCGCCCTGTGGGAAACGTGATGTATTTATTTGCTTATATGTCCCACTCTCCTCCCAGACTGAAGCTCCTATTGCTAAGGTAGCACCTCCTGCATAGCTGGTGTTTACTGAGGGGATCATTCAATACTCGTAAGTAATATCCGCGTCTGATATGTAACAAAGCTGCAAAAAAAGGGGAGAAGGCATTAAATTCACTTGATAGGGCATATCTAGGTTGCTGCATGCTATGACAGGGAGACTGGCAGATTGGTACCATAGCGCTTGCTGCTAGTTTTAGCCCTTAATTTAATTTGCTGTATGATCAGCTGGGTGTGGTGGCTCATGTCTATAATCCCAGTACTTTGGGAGGCCGAGACTTGAGCCCAGGACTTCGAGACCAGCCTGGGCAACCCAGTGAGACCCCATCTCTACAAAAAAAAAAAAAAAAAATTAGCCAGACGTGGTGGTGCACGCATGTAGTCCCAGCTACTCTGGAGGCTGAGGTGGGAAGATCACTTGAGCTGGGGAGGTTGAGGCTGCAGTGAGCTGTGATCGCACCACTGAACTCCAGCCTGGGTGACAGAGCAATACCCTGTCTGAAAAAATAACAGTAATAATAATTTGGCCAGGCGCAGTGGCTCGAGCCTGTAATCGTAGCACTTTGGGGGGCCAAGGTGAGCAGATCACCTGAGGTCAGGAGTTCGAGACCAGCCTGACCAACATGGTGAAACCCCATCTCTACTAAAAATACAAAATTAGCCGGGCGTGGTGGCCCACGTCTGTAATCTCAGTTACTAAGGAGGCTGAGGCAGGAGAATCGCTTGAACCTGGGAGGCGCAGGTTGCAATGAGCTGAGATCACACCATTGCACTCCAGCCTGGGCCACAAGAGCAAAACTCCATCTCAAAAAAATAAATATAAATAAAATAATAATAATAATAATAATTTGCTGTAAGATCTTAGAAGTTACTTCCCTAGAACCTTAAAACAATGTGTAAAATGTAGATAAACATAACTCCCTTAAAAAGCTCATAAAGGTCAAAGTTAGCATACTCTGAAATAATGGATGGGAAAATATGAAAGGCTACATTCTGTGGATAACTGTTACTAACATGGGTTGCATAAGACTGTACCTGCTGAACTGGCTTTACCATTCATTCCCCTCTTTCAGTTCATATTTTCCTTCAATTAAGTAGGGAAAAAAAAACAAAAGAAGCAGAGAATAGTCACTGTTAATAGACCAGCTTCCTCGGTGTGTCCATTCCTCCAATCACCTTCCTTCTTGGGGCTCACATGCAAATGGCCCCAGAGGGCTCATGGCCACAGCAGCGTTCTATAGGTGTCCTAGTTCCACTCAAGGGACACCCACAGCTCACAAAGTGGGAAATTCTTTCCCTTGTATTGGTTTCTAACACTTTTAACATCACATTTTCGCCAGGCATGCCAGCGCTGTAATCCCAGCACTGTGAGAGGCCAAGGCGGGAAGATTGCTTGATCCCAGGAGTTCGAGACCAGCCTTGGCAACATGGCAAAACACCATCTCCACAAAATCAAAAAATCAGCTGGGTGTGGTGTGTGTGCCTGTAATCCCAGCACTTTGGGAGGCTGCAGTGGGAGGATCCCCAGAGCCCAGCAGTTCAAGGTTGCAGCGAGCCGTGATCGCAGCACTGCACTCCAGCCTGGGCCACACAGCAACATCCTGTCTCAAAAAAAAAAAAAAATTTATTTTTCTCCACCTTTTTCTTTTTTTCAGGAGGCATCTCAATTGTTTCTTTCTTTTTTTTTTTTTTTTTTTTTTTTGAGACGGAGTCTCGCTCTCTCGCCAGGCTGGAATGCAATGGCGAGATCTCGGCTCACTGCAACCTCCGCCTCCCGGGTTCACATCATTCTCCTACCTCAGCCTCCCGAGTAGCTGGGATTACAGGCATGGGTCACCACACCCAGCTAATTTTTGTATTTTTAGTACAGACAGGGTTTCACCATGTTGGCCAGAATGGTCTCGATCTCTTGACCTCGTGATCCGCCTGCCTTGGCCTCTCAAAGTGCTGGGATTACAGGCGTGAGCCACCACGCCCAGCCACTTTTTTCTTAAAAAACCAGAAAAGCTTCCTCAGTATATAGTAGTCCCAGCTACTCAGGAGGCTGAGGCAGGAGAATCGCTTGAACCCGGGAGGCAGAGGTTGCAGTGAGCCAAGATCAGGTCATTGCACTCCAGCCTGGGCGACAGAGTGAGATTCCGCCTCAAAAAAAAAAAAATTAAATTACGAGTCCTCTCATTTCACTTTGTAAATTCTCGTTTGAAGTGTAGACAAGTGTCAAAGTATTTCACCAGCACATGAGGCAAATACAACTTTGTAATGTGACTTTGATCAACCTTTGAGGTTAAAATTTTACTTGGTAACGTTTCCTAAATAATTAAAATATATTTTCTAAGAGGCAGAATAAACAGGTGAATAAAATTCTTGCCTGCAAAGTGTGCAGTGTGGATGACAGCAACGTGAGCTCCCGTGGGAACATGGTGCTAATCCTGAAAAAATTACTTTGTGAATTACTGGATGCTATTGGGACCCTGTATTTGTGTTATCAGCAAATAAAGAAGTGATTCTCTCTGGGAATATTAGCCACAGTAAAATGTTCTAGACATCTCTTTATTAATTAAACAAGAGAAAAGGTAATTATAGTCTCTGCTAGGTCCCTTAAATCATTTCCTTTTTTAAAATGTCTTTTTATTTTGAGACAGGGTCTCATTCTGTTGTCCAGGCTGGAGTGCAGTGGCACGAACATGGCTCATTGTAGCCTTGAACTCCTGGGCTCAGGTGATCCTCCGACCTTGGCCTCCCGAGTAGCTGAAATTACAGGCATGCACCACCATGCCCGGCTAAGTTTTTTTAATTGAGATGGAGTCTCGCTTTGTCACCCAGGGTGGAGTGCAGTGGCGTGATCTCTGCTCACTGCAACCTCTGCAGCCTGAGTTCAAGCGATTCTCGTGCCTCAGCCTCCCAAGTAGCTGGGACGACAGGCATGCACCAACACACTCAGTTATTATTTTTGTGTGTGTGTATTTTTAGTAGAAAGGGGGTTTCGTCATGTTGATCAGGTCATTCTCAAACTCCTGACCTCAGGTTATCTGCCCGCCTCGGCCTCCCAGCGTGCTGGGATCACAGGTGTGAGCCACTGCGCCCGGCTGTGCCTGGCTGTACCCGGCTAATTTTTGTATTTTTTTGTACAGACAGGGTTTTGTCATGTTGCCTGGGCTAGTCTCAAACTCCTGGGCTCAAGCAATCTGCCTGCCTTGGCCTCCCAAAGTGCTGGGATTTCAGGTGTGAGCCACTGCAGTGGCCTACTATTGTTATTTTTAGTAGAGATAAGGCATTGCTACGTTGCCCAGGCTGGTCTCAAACTCCTGGCTCAAGCGATCCTCCCACATCAGCCTCCCAAAGCTCTGGGATTATAGGCGTGAGCCACTCCACCTGGCCTCGGCATCCTGTATTTTATCTTGCAACTGTGAGGCAGGTGCAGTGGCTGTTGGGAGAAGGTAGTGATGTGGGGGAGAAATAGAACACTAAAACGAACCCCACGGGGAGCGAAAGCGGCCACTGATTCACAAACTATCTAAGGATCAGAGATAATTTCTTTCTTTCCTTTTCTTTTTTTTTTTTTTTGAGACCGAGTCTCGCTCTGTCGCCCAGGCTGGAGTGCAATGGCATGATCTTGGCTCACTGCAACCTCTGCCTCCTAGGTTCAAGCAATTCTCCTGCCTCAGCCTCCTGAGTAGCTGGGATTACAGGTGCCCGCCACCACGCCCAGCTAATTTTTTTGTATTTTTAGTAGAGATAGGGTTTCACCATCTTGGCCAGGCTGGTCTTGAACTCCTGACCTCAGGTGATCTACCCGCCTCAGCCTCCCAAAGTGCTGGGATTACAGGCGTGAGCCACCATGCCCAGCCACCTGGCCTTTATTTTTAAATTGTGATAAAATATGCTAACATGCTTGAGCCCAGGAGTTTGAGACCAGCCTGGGAAACATTAGTGAGACCCTGTCGCTACCAAAAAAAAAAAAAAAAGCATAACAAAATGTACCACTGAAACTTTTTTTTTTTTTTTTTTGAGATGGAATCTCACTCTGTCACCCAGGCTGGAGTACAGTGGCGCGATCTCGGCTCACTGCAACCTCCACCTCCGGGGTTCAAGCGATTCTCCTGCCTCAACCTCCCGAGTAGCTGGGATTACAGGTACATACCACCACGCCCGGCTAATTTTTTGTATTTTTAGTATAGACGGGATTTTACCATGTTGGCCAGCCTGGTCTCGACCTCCTGACCTCAGGTGATCCACCCGCCTCGGTCTCCCAAAGTGCTGGGATGACAGGCGTGAGCCACCGCGCCCGACTGGCCTAAACCATTTTTAAGGGCGTAAGTCAGTGCCACTATGTACATTAATAAGGTTGTATCACCATCATCATTGTCTATTTCCAGAATGTTTCCATCATCCCAAATAGAATTCAATCTTTAATACTCAAATATTTTAAAATTAAAATAAAGAACACTGAGACGAAGATAAACTAAATCCAGCTGGGCAACTTTTTCTTCTGAATAGGCAGACTCTCACTATCATATCAAACTTATATTCGTGGACATATATTCGTGTTGCAAACTCTGGAAGCACTCACCGAAGCAGATAAAGGCTTTTCAGAGGTTAATGGCCTGTGATGAGTCTTGCAACTAGACCGTGAATCCATCATTCCTGATTCTCACTCCTAATGACATTTTACTGGGTTGTCCAATGAGTTAATAAATGAAAAATTATATTAAAACTTATAAATGCAACATGTACCCTCTATCAGTATTTCCCATCATAAAATAATACTTTAAAAGTGAATTTGAGCCAGCTGCAGTGGCTCACACCTGTAATCCCAGCACTTTGGGAGACCGAGGTGGGTGGATCACCTGAGATCAGGAGTTGGAGATCAGCCTGGCCAACATGGTGAAACCCCATCTCTACTAAAAATACAAAAAATTAGCTGGGCATGGCGGCGCATGCCTGTAATCCCAGCTACTCAGGAGGGTGAGGCAGGAGAATCGCTTGAACCCGGGAGGTGGAGGTTACAGTGAGCCAAGATCAAGCCATTGCACTCCAGCCTGGGCAACAAGAGCAAAACTCCATCTCAAGAAAAAAGAAAAACAAGGTGAATTTGGGCTGAATGCGGCGGCTCATGCCTGTAATCCCAGCACTTTGGAAAGCCGAGGAGGGAGGATCAGTTGAGCCCAGGAGCTTGAGTTCCACCTGGGCAACAGAGTGAGACCCCGTCTCTATAAAAAAAATGCAAAAATTAGCCTGGTGTGATGGAGCTTGTCTGTAGTCCCAGCTACTCAGGAGGCTGAGGTAGGAGGATCGCTTGAGCCCAGGAGGTCGAGGCTACAGTTAGCTGAAATTGCGCCACTGCACTCCAGCCTGGGCAACAGAATGAGATCCTGTCTCAAAAAAAAAAAAAAAAAAGAAACTGAATTTATATGGAATCACTGTTGTGACATTTTAACATCTTTTCTCTATAGTTATTGTACAAAGAATACCTTTTTTTTCAAAAAAATTTTCAAGAAAAAAATACTTTCAGGTTTTTCCACGGACTTACAAATATGAGACCGCTACAACAAATGTATCTAGCCTAGCAAAACATGAATGAAACGTTGTATGCAGTCTCTTTTTCTATTAGTCAGTGGCTGAAAGCCTTTGAAACAACCTGATGGGCGGTTGGTATTGTGTAAGACGGTGACCTAAAAACAGCCTGTCAGTTCCCTGCCATCCCATTTTTCAACAGCAGGGTGTGATCATAATGGGCTTTATTGACATCATAAATCTGAGAGCATGGATGGTATCCATTTCCAGTTGTTTAATTGAAGAAATGAAAGATCTTGTAATGTGGAGTTGATATGGAGAGTTTGTCGAGCTACAGTAAAATTTTGCAAGAGCTGTGACCTTGGGTCAGAAAATGACTGATCAAGACGGAACCTTTTGTCATACTGTGGAAGCGACTGTATTGACTTATTTTATTCTTAGCGCTAATGCCAACAGAGAGCACGAATTGCTTCTGACTGCTTTCTGTCTCAACCCAGAGTGACTCTGTGGGCAAATCAATACAAGTATCGTCTAAATAAGCTATGACTAAATAATAAAATATGATAAACTTTTATTATTTATTTTGAGACAGAGTTTCGCGCTTGTGGCCCAGGCTGGATTGCAATGGCACGATCTCTGCTCACTGCAACTTCTGCCTCCCGGGTTCAAGCGATTTTCCTGCCTCAGCCTCCCGAGTAGCTGGGATTCCAGCCATGTGCTACCACGCCCGGCTAATTTTTGTTTTTTCAGTAGAGATGGAATTTCGCCATGTTGGCCATGCTGGTCTTGAACTCCTGGTCTCAAGTGATCCTGGCCTGAGCTTTTCAAAGTGCTAGGATTACAGGCATGAGCCACTGCACCCGGCCTGTTTTCCATCTTCTTAATGTGATGGGTTCTCATAAGGGTGAACAGGTGGGCGTGAGCAACCTGGACCCATACAGGTGAAGCCACAGCAAATCATAGACGGTCCCTGGGTTTCATGGGTTTGGGAACAGCAAATCGCAGACAGTCCCTGGCTTTCCTGGGTTTGGGAACTTTATTTAGGATGTTTGACACAGTTGAGTGTAAAAGAATGATACATTTTCTCACAACTTGTAAGATTTGAGAAGTGCTGAAAGCCCTAGAGAGGAGAAAGAGAATGGTGGTGTCTATTAAAATGCAGTGTGAGATCATCTATGATTCATTTACATAAGATTTAAAAATAAGCAGAACAAATACATAGCTTTACAAGGTCCAGTCGTGGTTACTCTTGCTGAGGAGGGGTAGGCAGAGGAAGGGGAGTGAGGGGGGTTCTGGGGTGCTGGTTACCTTCTGTTCCTTGGTCTGAGCAATGGTAAATGGTCACCTTTGTGAAAATTCATTGAGTTGTACACTGATGGCTTGGGCACTTCTATGTGTATAATATTCAATACATTTTTTGAAAATGTAAAAATGGGCCAGACACAGTGGTTCACACCTGTAATCCCAGCACTTTGGGAGGTGGAAGCGGATGGATTGCTTGAGCTCAGGAGTTTGAGACTAGCCTGGGCAACATGGTGAAATCCCATCTCTACAAAAAATAGCCAGGGGTGGTGGCTCACCTGTAGTCCCAGCTACTTGGGAGCCTGAGGTGAGACAATCACCTGAGCCCAGGGAAGTTGAGGCTGCAGTGAGCTGTGATTGTGCCGCTGCACTCCAGCCTGGGTGACAGAGCGAGACCTTGTCTCAAAAAAAAAAAAAAAAAAGGGCTGGGCACGGTGGCGGCTCGTGCCTGTCATCGCAGCACTTTGGGAGGCTGAGCCGGGTGGATCACCTGAGATCAGGAGTTTGAGACCAGCCTGGCCAACATGGAGAAACCCCGTCTCTACTAAAAATACAATATTAGCCAGGAGTTGTGGTGCATGGTGCTCACACCTGTAATCCCAGCTACCCGGAGGCTGAGGCAGGAGAATTGCTTGAACCCAGGAGGCAGAGGTTGTGGTGAGCCGAGATCGTGCCATTGCACTCCACTGGGCAACAAGAGCAAAACTCCGTCTCAAAAAAAAAAAAAAAAAAAAAGTAAAAATGTAGTATAGAAGAATCTTTGTCAGTCCTTTACAGAAAGTTGATATGAGAATTGTCTAATAGAATTTTAAAAATAGATGTTATTTTTTAGAAGAGTTTTAGATTTATAGAAAAATTGAGAAGCTAGTTCAGGGAGTTTCTATATGCCCTATGCCCAGTTTCCCCTATTATTAACATATTAGTGTGGGCCAGGCACAGTGGCTCACGCCTGTCGTCCCACCACTTTGGGAGGCTGAGGCGGGGGGATCACCTGAGGTCAGGAGTTCGACTATCCTGACCAACATGGTGAAACCCTATCTCTAGTAAAAATACAAAAATTAGCTCGGTATGGTGGCATGCACCTGTAATCCCAGCTACTCCAGAGGCTGAGGCAGGAGAATCACTTGAACCCAGGAGGCAGAGGTTGCAGTGAACCGAGATCGAGCCACTGCACTCCAGCCTGGGCGACAGAGCAAGGCTCAGTCTCAAAAATAAATAAATAAATAAAATAAAAAAAAAATATATTAGTATGGTACATTTATTACAATGAATAAACCCATATTGCTACATTAGTACTAACCAAAGTCGGTAGTTGATTCAGGTTTGCTTACTCTTCCCCTAATTTTCTTTTCTGCTCCAGGCCCCCACATCGCCTTTGGTCACCATGTCTCACTGGGCTCCTCTGGGCTGTGACAGTGTTTCTGGTGACCTGGACGGTTTTGAGGAATGCTGGTGTGGGATCGTATAGGAGTTCGAGACCAGCCTGGCCAACATGGTGAGATCCTGTCTCCACTAAAAATACAAAAATTAACTGGGCCTGGTGGTGTGTGCCTGTAATCCCAGTTCAGGCGATTCTCCTGCCTCAGTCTCCCAAGTAGCTGGGATTACAGGCACCCGCCACCACGCCCGGCTAATTTTTGTATTTTTAGTAAAGACAGGGTTTCACCATGTTGTTCAGGCTGGTCTCAAACTCCCGACCTCAGGTGATCCACCCGGCCTTGGCCTTTAAAGTGCTGGGATTACAGGCGTGAGCCACCCCGCCCAGTTTGTAATTAAATTTTTTTCAGTCCACGTAGAAGACGGTGGTGCTGTCAGATGAAGCTGTCCTATGCAGGGGTGCTGTTTTTTGTTTTTTGTGTTTTGTTTTGTTTTGAGATGGAGTCTTGCTCTTGTTGCCTAGGCTGGCTGGAGTGCAGTGAGCCAAGATGGCACCACTGCTTTCCAGCCTGGGTGACAGAGTGAGACCCTGTCTCAAAAGAAAAAAAAAAACTTCTAAAAGAACATCATGGGGGAATAACTACGTTTTATTCAACTTCTCTACATGTAAAGTACCATTTAATGTTTTTAAAATTTTGAGTTGTCCGGGTGTGGTGGCTCACGCCTGTAATCCCAGCACTTTGGGAAGCCGAGGCGGGCAGATCATCTGAGGTCAGGAGTTCAAGACCAGCCTGATCAACATGACAAAACCCTATCTCTATAAAAATACAAAAAAATAGCCAGGCGTGGTGGTGGGTGCCTGTAATCCCAGCTGCTTGGGAGGCTGAGGCGGGAGAATCGCTTGAACCTGGGATGCAGTGGTTGTAGTGAGCCAAGATCTCGCCACTGCACTCCAGCCTGGGTGACAGAGTAAGACTCTGTCTCAAAAAAAAAAAAATTTAACTGGGAGCCCTACATTTTATCCGACAACCTGGGCTCAGGACCTCCCCCAGCAAGGCCTGGGACGCCCTGCCTCTGTGACTTCCTCACCAAAGCTCAGCAAGCCCAGCATTCTGGATTTCTTCCAGTGCTGGCAACAATTCAAGTTCTTTCCCGGCCCGGGGCCTTTGGGCAGCATGTTCTGTATTGCTGGAACCCTCTTCACATGCCTGGCTGCTTCTCACTCACAAGGTTTCAGCTTAAATGTCTCCTCCTTAGAACGCCCTTTCCTGAGCCAGCTGTGGTGGCGCCCTGTAGTTCCAGCTACTTGGGAGGCTGAGGCGGGAAGATTGCTTGAGCATAGGAGTTCCAGGCTGCAGTGACCCATGATTGCATCACTACACTCCAGCCTGAGTGATAGAGCGAGACCCTGTCTCTAAAAATAAAAAATAATAATTAATTAACTAAAAATTAAAAAGGGCCGGGCAAGGTGGCTCACGCCTATAATCCTAGCACTTTGGAAGGCCGAGGTGGGGGAGAACACTTAAGCCCAGGAGTTTGAGACCAACCTAGGCAACATAGCGAGACCCCATCTCTACAAAATAAGATGTGAAGTTTTCATTTAACATCATCAGTGGATCTTTGGAAACTGACTTTAAGCAAAACAAAGTAAAACAGGTCTTCAGATTAGGTTGTTTGTTGTTTCATTATAATGTTAACAAGGAAAAAAAATAGTTTTTGTTACATGTCGTTTTCCTTAAAGTTGCAGTTTCCAAAAGCCTATAGTGAGGACTGGCTGTAATTAGTGAAGAAGAGGACGTGCTGGATTCGAGCGGGCTCTGCCGCCAACGGCTGATGCTTTAGAAGAAGGACGTGCGAGGTCCAGCGTGGTGGCTCACGCCTGTAATCCCAGCACTTTGGGAGGCTGAGGTGGGTGGATCACCTGAGGTCGGGAGTTCGAGACCAGCCTGACCAACATGGTGAAACCCCGTCTCTACTAAAAATACCAAAATTAACCAGGTGTGGTGGCGCGTGCCTGTAATCCCAGCTACTCAGGAGGCTAAGGCAGAAAATCGCTTGAACCTGGGAGGCGGAGGTTGCAGTAAGCTGAGATTGCACCATTGCACTCCAGCCTGGGTGACAGAGCAAGACTCCATCTCAAAAACAAACAAAAAAATTAAGTTATGTCGAATTATATTTTCCTAGGCATCCAGAACCTTCCAACATGAATTCATGGTAAAGGAAACACCTAAATATTGTTTCTGGCAATCTCCTGTTTTGTAAAGTCTGTGTTAAACTTTTATTCCCCGACTAGCATTGGAATCACTGTAGAACACATAGATTTGGCGTGAGATGGCTTCATTGTGAACGAGTTCCCGTTTATTGTGTCAAAGTCAAGCCATTGAGCAGCCAGGTACGGATGGGCCAACTGCCGAGCCACGGTGGAGAAGGTGGAGAAGAGCGATGGAGTTCTCAGCGAAATCAGAGCTGCCTCGGTGGGTTTCGAATCAGAAATTCCTAAGGGTAACCCTACAGTGAGTGCATAAAGCCACTCAGTGTAATCAGTAGCGTACGACGTCTGTACAATTTGCATAAGATGCACAAGTTGCAATTTGGTTTCAGACTTTTTGTTTCTTTCTTTTTTTTTTTTTTTTTTTTGAGTCAGGGTCTGGCTCTGTTGCCCAGGCTGGAGTGCACTGGTGTGATCTCGGCTCACTGCAACCTCTGCCTCCTGGGCTCAAGCCATCCTCCCATCTCAGCCTCTCAAGTAGCGGGGACTACAGGCACACACCACCACACCTGGCTAATTTTTGTATTTTTTGCAAAGAAAGGATTTTGCCATGTTGCCCAGGTTGGTCTTGAACCATTGAGCTCAAGCTATCCTCCGGCCTCAACCTCCCAAAGTGCTGGGATTACAGGCATGAGCCACCACGCCCAGCCTGGTTTCAGACTTTTATAAATAACGTGTGTATTATTTCCTCTAAATAGCTTGATTGTTTTTCTTTCCTTTTTTTTTTTTTTTTTTGAGACGGAGTCTCACTTTGTCACCCAGGCTGGAGTGCAGTGGCGCGATCTTGGCTCACTGCAGCCTCAACCCCACAAGCTCAAGCAATCCTCCTGCCTCAGCCACCTGAGTAGCTGAGACTACAGGCATGCGCCATCACACCCGGCTAAGTTTTATATTTTTAGTAGAGACAGGGGCTTCACTATGTTGGCCAGGCTGGTCTCGATCTCCTCACCTCAAGTGATCCACCCACCTCGGCCTCCGAAAGTGCTGGGATTACAGGTGTGAGCCACTGCACACAGCCCTAAATTGGGTTTTTTGTTACAGGTGGATGGAGCTGAATTCCTGAGGAAAAGCTCAACTCAGTTATGGACGGATCTTGTTCCTCCCTATCAGGGGATCCCCAAGGAGAACGCTTGGCGTGTCCTCCTTTGGTCCAGCCTGGGTTGCAGCTTCGATGCTCCCTCTGTGCAGGGGGGAAGGTACCTGCAGATTGCCCATCTGTACCCCAGGATTTAGGGGACACCTGATGAGGTATTTGTGTTTAATCATCATCTTGATGCGGACGCTTTTAGGAACAAGGACTGAGACTGGGAGGGATTATAAATAAACACTCAAATGACAGGAAATCTTCAGCTGTCTTCCACCATCACTCTTCTAAAACATTAGTGCTTCATCTCGATAACGAAACAATGTCAGTGCATCCTGAGAGCATGTGGCTCACGTCTGCATTCGAGGCTGTGCACATTTAACCAGGCTGTTTTGAATATTAGACTCTTTTATCAGATCTTCCGACCATCCGCTTTCTGCTGCTCACAGACCTTAGGTTTCAGAGAAAAGGCTCCTGGATTTCAACGCAATCCATTATCTTCTGTGGACACATGAGGCAAGCAACCTATGGGAGACTTTTTTCTCTTTTTTCTTTTTTCTTTGCCTTAAAAAAAATCTTTTGTTGGAGCTTGCTTCACTAGTAGGAAAGCTGACACCTGTGTAGACAGGTTGTCTGCACCCACTCACAAATTCATTCATGCGTCATGTGCTTTTTGGAGCCGGCATTGCCCTCATCTTTGAGGAGCTCACAATTGGAAGGGAGGGGAGTATCCACACGGTGGAGGTCCCCAGTGGCTTAGTTACATTTGGTTGGGGGTTAGGAAGTAGAGCAAACACAGGGCTTGGCTTAGCACTGCTCCCAAGTTGCTGACATTTATTTTTACTAATCGTCCCTTAAAAAAAGAATCAGGAGGCTGGGTGCAGTGGCTCATGCCTGTAATCCCAGCACTTTGGGAGGCTGAGGCGGGCAGATCACCTGAGGTCAGGAGTTCAAGACTAGCCTGGCCAACATGGTGAAACCCCGTCTCTACTAAAATATAAAATTAGCCAGTCGTGGTGGTGCACACCTGTAATCCCAGTTACTCAAGAGGCTGAGGCAGGAGAATCGCTTGAACCCAGGAGGCAGAGATTGCAGTGAGCCAAGATCACGCCATTGCACTCAAGCCTAGGCAACAGAGCAAGACTCGGTCTAAAAAATAAAAAAATAAGAATTACACTGGGTATGGTGGCTCACACCTATAATCCCAGCACCTTGGGAAGCCAAGACAAGAGGATCACTTGAGCCCAGGAGTTTGAGACCAACCTGGGCAACATAGCAAGCCCTCATCTCTTAAAAAAAGTTAAACTTTAGCCAGGCATGGTGGTGCACACTTGTAGTCCCAGCTACTTGGGAGGGTGAAGTGAGAGAATCGTTTGAGCCCATGATTTCGAATTCCACATGATCAATTGCAAACTGACTTTTTTTTTTTTTTTTAGTTGGAGTCTCACTCTGTCTCCCAGGCTGGAGTGCAGTGGCGCGATCTCAGCTCAATGCAACTTCCGCCTTCTGGGATCAAGCGATTCTCCTGCCTCAGCCTCACCAGTAGCTAGGATTACAGGCACCCGCTACCACAGCCGGCTAATTTTTGTATTTTTAGTACAGATGGGGTTTCACCATATTGACCAGGCTGGTCTCGAATTCCTGACCTTGTGATCCGCCTCCCTCGGCTTCCCAAAGGGCTGGGATTACAGGCGTGAGCCACTGCGCCCGGCCACTGATTTGTTGTTGATGTTGTTGTTGTTATCAGTGTTTTCTTTTTTTTCATTATTATTATTATTTATTTTATTTTATTTTATCATGCTTTAAGTTTTAGGGTACTGTACTGATTTTATACCCAACTCATTCCAGGATTCTTGCAACACACTATGCTGATGTACAAAGATGAATAAGACATGGTCTCGGCCGGGCACGGTGGCTCACACCTGTCATCCCAGCACTTTGGGAGGCTGAGATGGGCAGATCAGGAGGTCAGGAGATCGAGACCATCCTGGCTAACACGGTGCAACCCCGTCTCTATTAAAAATACAAAAAATTAGCCAGATGTGGTGGCACATGCCTGTAGTCCCAGCTACTCGGGAGGCTGAGGCAGGAGAATCACTTGAACCCAGGAGGCAGAGGTTGCAGTGAGCCGAGATTGTGCCACTGCACTCCAGTCTGGGCGACAGAGCGAGACTCCATCTCAAAAAAAAAAAAAAAAAAAAAGACATGGTCTTACTGATCAGAGGGTAAAGCAGGGAAAATTTGGGTTGCCCCATCATCGAGCATCAAGTAGCATTCCTGGGACTTGTATGCAAAGACGAGAAAGCCTGGGAGATGTGATGTGCAGATACAGTATGGGCTGTGCTGGCTTGTGGAAAAAGACAGAATAGCTGGGTGCAGTGGCTCACATCTGTAATCCCAGCACTTTGGGAGGCCGAGGTGGGCAGATCACCTGAGGCCAGGAGTTTGAGACCAGCCTGGCCAACATGGCAAAACCCCATCTCTACTAAAAATACAAAAATTAGCCTGCGTGGTGACGAGTGCCTGTAATCCCAGCTATTCGGGAGGCTGAGGCAGGAGAATCAATTGAACCCGGGAGGTGGAGGTTGCAGTGAGCCAAGATCGTGCCACTGCACCCCAGCCTGGGCAACAGAGCGAGACTCTGTCTCAAAAAAAGAAAATGAAAAAGACATGCTTAAATTTTAGCTTCCATTTCTCATCTTCTAAAGCCATGCTTCTCAAACATGAGTGAGCAGACCCAGGAATCTTGTTAAAATGCGGATTCCGATTCAAGGGGCCTGGGAGGAGCCTGAGGTCCTGCCTTTCAAACCAGCTCCCAGATGGGGCTGATGCTGACACCAGTAAACTCCCTTTGCACACAAGCCTGTTTAGGCTGGGTCTTCTCCAATTTGCACACACAGTATCCCAGCTATGACATTCAGAAACATCAAGCTTGTTCTTTCCTGCCCCTTGATGCTGCTTTTTGTTCTGTGTCTTCTCTTGAGCCCCTTGGTGGTGCTTTTTGTTCTGTGCCTTCTCTTAAGCCCTGCCCTCTGCTTGGAATGCTCTCTGCCACCTCTTCACTCCTCCTCCAGGAAACCTTCCTTGACTGCCTGCTCTCTGCCCTGCGAGGACTCTCGGGAGCAGACTTTGAGGAGCAGGCTCCAGGGCAGAGGTTCTTGGCCTTGGCTACAAATTAGAATCACCTGGGAGCTTTAAACCACCCACTGTCACACCCCAGACCAATAGAACCAGAATTTCTAGGAGTGGGACCCAGCACCGGTGTGAGAAGTAGGTCACAGGTGTCTCTCATGCACAACATTTACAAAGTATCGACGGCATCTGATGTCTCCAAACCAGTTGGTAAAATTCACTGTAGCAGTTCATCACAGTCAGGTGCCGCGGCTCATGCCTATAATCCCAGCACTTTGGGAGGCTGAGGCAGGTGGATCACTTGGAGCCCAGGAGTTCAAGACCAGCCTGGGCAACATGGTGAGACTCCCATCTCTACAAAAAACACAGAAATTAGCCAGGCGTGGTGGTGCACGCCTATTGTCCCAGCTACTCAGGAAGCTGAGGTGGGAGAATTGCTTGAGCTTGGGAGGTGGAGGCTGCAATGAGCCGAGACTGCACCACTGCACTCCAGACTGGGTGACAGAGCAAGACCCTGTCTCAGAAAATAAAATAAAATTTAATTTTTTTAAAAAAAGGCCAAGTGTGGTGGCTTACACCTGTAATTCCAGCACTTTGGGAGGCTAAGGCAGGCAGATCACTTGAGGTCAGGAGTTTGAGACCAGCCTGGCCAACATGGCAAAACTCTGTCTCTACCAAAAATATAAAAAATTAGGCAGGCGGCTGGGCGTGGTGGCTTATGCCTGTAGTCCCAGCACTTTGGGAGGCCAAGGCAGGCGGATCAGGAGGTCAGGAAATCGAGACCATCCTGTCTAATATGGTGAAACCCCATCTCTACTAAAAATACAAACCATTAGCCAGGTGTGGTGGCTCGTGCCTGTAGTCCCAGTTACACGGGAGGCTGAGGCAGGAGAATCGCTCGAACCCGGGAGGTGGAGGTTGCAGTGAGTCGAGATCATGCCACTGCACTCAAGCTTGGGTGACAGGCAAGACTCCGTCTCAAAAAAAAAAAAAAAGGCCCCAAGGCCCTCATCTGCCCCTTCTGCCATGCGAGGACAGTGAAAAGATGGCCATCGAGGAGGGGGCCCTCACCAGACACGGACCTGCCTGTCCTGGAGTGTGGGTGTCTGGCCTCCAGAGCGTGAGAAAGGCATTTCTGTTGCTTACATACCCCTCAGTTGATCTTGAAACAAGGAATTGTTTAAGGAAGGAATTAGGGCTGGGCACAGTGGGTCACACCTGTAATCCCAGCACTTTGGGAAGCCGGGGTGGGAGGATCACTTAAGCTCAGGGTTTCAAGGCCAGCCTGGGCAACGTAGGGAGACCTCACCTCTACAAAAAATTTAAAAATTAACTGGGTGCAATGGTGCATGCTGTGATCCCAGCTACATGGGAGGCAGAGGCAGGAGGATTGTTTGATCCCAGGAGGTGGTGGCTGCAGTGAGCTGTGTTTGCTCCACTGCACTCCAGCCTGGGCAACAGAGAAAGAGCCAGTCTTTTTTTTTTTGAGACGGAGTCTCACTCCGTCACCCAGGCTGGAGTGCAGTGGCACAATCTTGGCTCACTGCAAACTCCACCTCCCAGGTTCAAGCCATTCTCCTGCCTCAGCCTCCTGAGTAGCTGGGACTACAGGCACCCCCCACCACGCCCAGCTAATTGTTTTTGGATTTTTGGTAGAGACAGGGTTTTACTGTGTTAGCCAGGATGGTCTCGATCTCCTGACCTCGTGGTCCGCCTGCCTCGGCCTCCCAAAGCGCTGGGATTACAGGCGTGAGCCACTGTGCCCAGCCAGAAAGAGCCAATCTTAAAAAAAAAAAAAAAAAAGTAATTTCCTATCTTTATAAAGGCCATAAAGGTAGGCCTTTATCAGTAGGAAGGAGGCAGAAGAGCCAAGGTCCAAGGGGAGCTGAAGACAGAAGTGCCCCTTTACTCTGATGGTCCTGAAATTAGCCCAGGAGCTCTGGCCAGCAACATGCTTTGGTTCAGGTGCAGACGACTGGGCCCAGCCTGGCGAAAGGGAACTCCCAATGCAGTGAGTAGACTCTGGTGGTGGCCTGCTACCACAGTGGCCTAGCTGGGTTCTAGGCCTGCTCTACCGTGAGCCTCTCCAGTCCACGGAAGGGAGGGGCACAGCTCTCCCTCCACACCCGTCCCAGGAACATCAACTCATTCCATCAACTAATTCGAAAAATGTTCTGGACAATCCGCAGTGGCTCACACCTGTAAGCCCAGCACTTTGGGAGGCTGAGGTGGGTGGCTCACCTGAGGTCAAGAGTTCGAGACCAGCCTGGCCAACATGGTGAAACCCCATCTCTACTAAAAATACAAAAATTAGCTGGGTGTGGTGGTGGCATCTATGATCCCAGCTACTCAGGAGGCTGAGGCAGGAGAATCGCTTGAACCCAGGAGGTGGAGGTTGCAGTGAGCCGAGATCGCACCACTGCACTCCAGCCTGTGCGACAGAGCAAAAACTCCATCTCAAAAAAAAAGAAAAAAAGAAAGAAAGAAAAGAAAAATGTTCTGGCCCCTCCCCTGAAAGCCGCCTGGAAGAACATCTGCCATTTGCTCTAATTAGATTAAGACACATGCAAGTGTCCTAGTCCCTGGAATAACCGCTGTTAAGAGTTCCCTTTGACATTTGCAAGGGAAGAATCCACACCCACATGTTCAGCCCGACCTGCTCTCAATGGTTTCCCTCCCGTGGGGCCTGTGTCTGGCCTGTCCTGGCCCCACAGGTAATGCCCCCGACCCGGAAGGCATTGTGGACCCAGATGTGCAACTGACCTGGAACACAGCTGAGTGATATCAGACTCAACATCAGGTGCAGAGCTGTTTGTTCTGTTGGAGAACATTCCAGAGGTTCCAGAAGCTGGCAGGGCTTGGGGCTCACCCGTGTTTCTGTGCCAGGAGCTCTCCCCAAGCACCTGCTGTGACTCAACAAAGCTGCACTGAGCACAAGCTTGGGTCAGGCCCCGCAAGGGGATCCAGGGAGGAAACACACAGACAGGGGGTCGCTGCCGTGGGGCAGAGAACAAACTGGTGCTGCCTGTGCCTGGTGGGCAGAGCCCGGGTTGTCGGAGGCACGTTCAGAAGCTGGGTTCACTCAGTCTGTTCCGTCATGGGATCAATGGGCCCCCTTGGAAAGTTCTGGAGTGAGGGAACCATCACTGAGGGTGTGCTAGTGGCAGTCCCGCTCTGTCCCCCAGGCTGGGTGCGTGGCGGTGGCAGTCCCGCTCTGTCCCCCAGGCTGGGTGCGTGGCGGTGGCAGTCCCGCTCTGTCCCCCAGGCTGTGAGTGCAGTGGCACGATCTCGGTTCACTGCACCCTCCTCCTCGCAGGTTCAAGCGATTCTCCGGCCTCAGCCTCCTGAGCGGCTGGGATGACAGGCGTGCGCCGCTGCACCTGGCCTACACGGCTTTTAAATCTTACATTGTGCACCAGAGAAGAGTCAAACAAAGCAAAATTAGCGGCAGAAAGCACCCCCTTGCTTCTCTGTACACACGACCCAGGTGTATCGCAGAGCAAACACAGTGAAAGTGTGCACGCTCGGGAAAGGCGCAGGAACTGACATTTTACCAAGGTCTCTGAAGGGGCAGAAAACAGGCCCCGAGAGGCACAGATGCCAACAATGATTGTCAGGAATCAATGGGAAAGCGTGTTTGTGCAGCGCTATTGGCATCTGATGTGTTTGTTATAATTGGCTCCCGCCAGCCCTGTCTCCTTTATTAATTGCACATATTCCTCTTGACGAAAGTGACATGCCGATGGCAGCGTTGTGGGCTTGAAGACGAGGGTGCCTTTCGATCTAAGCCTAAAGTCACATTTGTGACCCGAACCTAAGACAGAGAGGAGCCCAAAGGTCACTTCTCCTCCAGGAATGTCTGGATGGGTGACTTATTGGAGCCGCTCGCTTAATTGTACCACCTTGAGGTAGCCACATAGTGACAGTTTTCCTGGGTCCCTTAAACCATGATGTTCCATAGGATGACTCTGCCTGAAGCCCTCTGGCAGCTGGAGTTTCATTCTGCAGACGAGGAAAACAAGGCCATTCCGAGAACTTCCAGAATTCAACCACTCAATCCACCAATGAATGCTAAGATCGTGGGCTCAAGTTCAAGGAGAAACACGATGTGCACCTGATACCAAAGTATCAAAACAGAAACAGTGATCTGGCCGGGGGCGGTGGCTCACACCTGTAATCCCAGCACTTTGGGAGGCTGAGGTGGGCGGATCACCTGAGGCCAGGAGTTCGAGACCAGCTTGGCCAACAAGGCAAAACCCTGTCTCTACTAAAAATACAAAAATTAGCTGGGCGTGGTGGCGCATGCCTGTAATTTCAGCTACTCAGGAGGCTGAGGCAGGAGAATTCCTTGAACCCGGGAGGCGGAAGTTGCAGTGAGCCGAGACTGCGCCACTGCACTCCAGCCTGGGTGACACAGCAAGACTGTGTCTCAAAACAAAAACAAACAAAAAAGACATTGATCTTCTTTGAGGCTGGGCACAGTTGCTCATGCCTATAATCCCAACACTTTGGGAAGCCAAGGCAGGAAGATTGCTTGAAGCCAGGAGTTCAGGACCAGCCTGGACAATGTAGCAAGACCCTGTCACCACAAAAAATACAAAAGTGAGCTGGGTGTAGTGGCAGGTGCCTATAGTCCCAGCTACTTGGGAGGCTGAGGTGGGAGGATTGCCTGAGCCCAGGGAAGTCGAGGCTGCAGTGAGCTGAGATTGCACCACTGCACTCTAGCCTGGGGCACAAGGAGAGCTTGTCTCAAAAAAAAAAAAAAAGAAGAAGAAGAAAAGAAAAGAAAAAGTGTGACTGGGCACAGTGACTCACGCCTGTAATCCCAGCACTTTGGAGGCCACAGCAGGCAGATCATCCGAGGTCAGGAGTTCGAGACCAGCCCGGCCAACATGGCGAAACCCATCTCTACTAAAAATACAAAAATTAGCTGGGCATGGTGGTGGGTGCCTGTAATCTCAGCTACTCGGGAGGCTGAACGGGGAGAATCACTTGAATCTGGGAGTTGGAGGTTGCAGTGAGCCGAGATTGTGCTACTACACTCCAGCCTACGTGACAGAGCGAGACTCTGTCTCAAAAAAAAAAAAAAAAGAAAGAAAGAAAAGAAACAACGCTATGTCTAAGTGGACCCAGGCACTTCAAACCTGTGTTGGTCACAGGTCAACTGCACTGCATAAGAAAAAGGTTTTTTGATTTTGTTTTGAGACGCAGTCTCACTCTGTTGCGCAGGCTGGAGTGCAGTGGCGCGATCTCAGCTCACTGCAACCTCCGCCTCCCAGGTTCAAGCGATTCTCCTGCCTCAGCCTCCTGAGTAGCTGGGATTACAGGCGCGAGCCACCATGCCCGGCTAATTTTTGCATTTTTAGTAGAGATGGGTTTCCCATGTTGGTCAGGCTGGTCTTGAAGTTCCGACCTCGGGTGATCCGCCTGCCTTGGCTTCCCAAAGTGCTGGGATTACAGGCATGAGCCTCTGCGCCTGGCCAGAAAAAGGTTTTAAAATGTTTACAAAAGAGAAAGAAAAACAGCTAGGCTTTCCCATCACCTTCTGGAGAAAGCAGGCCACCTGATGTCAGTGCCTTCCTGCACTTCATCCTCATAACTGCTCAATCGATACTACGTCTTTATAGTAAATAATTGTGTCCATGGGGCTTTATTGGTCTCCGGCACAGGAGTTGTCCGGACCACTTTCATCAGCAGAGCAAAACCATTGATTTTTCTGCCCACCCGTCCAGGGCACAAACTGACCAGTTGCCGGTCGGTGGCCAGGATCAGAACTGGAGGGACCAGCCCCAGAACCCAGAACCCCTCCCAGCACTGGTCCCAGCCAGGGTGGATGAAACGTTCTCTCCCCAGTGAATCGCATTCCGGTGCAGTGTAACTTCCAAGAAAGAGGCCAGGCAAGGCCAGGCGTGGTGGCTCACGCCTGTAATCCCAGCACTTTACGAGGCTGAGGCGGGCGGATCACTTGAGGTCAGGAGTTCAAGACCAGCCTGTCCAACCAACATGGTGAAACCCCGTCTCCACTAAAAATACAAAAATTAGCCGGCGTGGTGGCGCACGCCTATAATCCCAGCTACTCGGAAGTCTGAGGCAGGAAAATCTCTTGAACCTGGGAGGTGAAGGTTGCAGTGAGCCAAGATTGCACCACTGCACTCCAGCCTGGGCAATAGCGTGGGACTCAATCTCAAAAAAAAAAAAAAAAAAGGCCGTGCATGGTGGCTCATTCCTGTAATCCCAGCACTTTATGAGACCGAGGCAGGTGGATCACTTGAGGTCAGGAGTTCAAGACCAGCCTGGCCAACATGATGAAACCCTGTCTCTACTAAAAATACAAAAAAAAATTATCCGGCGTGGTGGCAGGCGCCTGTAATCCCAGCTACTTGGGAGGCTGAGGCAGAGAATTGCTTGAATCCAGGGGGCGGAAGTTGCAGTCAGCTGAGATTGCGCCACTGCACTCCAGCCTAGCAACAGACGAAGACTCCATCTCAAAAAAAGAAAAAAAGAAAGAGGCCAGGCACAGTAGCTCATGTCTGTAATCCCAGCAGTTTGGGAGCCTGAGGCAGGTGAACTGCTTGAGCCCAGGAGTTTGAGGCTAGCCTGGGCAACACAGTAAGACCCTATCTCTACCAAAAATGTAAAAATTAGTCAGGCATGGTGTCGCAAGCCTGTGGTCCCAGCTACCCAGGAGGCTGAGGTGGGAGGATTGCTTGAACCTGGGAGGCAGAGGCTGAAGTAAACCGAGATCGCACCACTGCACTCCAGCCTGGGCAATAGAGTGAGACCCTGTTTCAAAAAAAAGAAAACGAAGGAAAGAAAGGGTAAAGCACCTTTGGTCCAAAGAGGATCTCAGGGAATCACAGGAGGGTTGTTTTGCCATTTTGGGGGGGCCTGAGCCCTGGAGGCCAGTGAGCACCAGAACACCGGGCGGGGCAGCAGCCGGCTGTGCTGCTGGCTGGAAGCACCAGGTGAGGCTGCAACCCACGTGTGCACTGAAAGCTCCTGGCTGGCAAACGCACACTCTCATGACTGACTGTGAACCATTCCTGACAGTTGTGATGTGTTCCTGATTGCACTGTGTTGTTCTTAGTCGCTTTGTAAATAGAACCTGTGTGTGCGTGCTGTGCAGGTGAACATAGATGGTGCCTGTCCCTGCGGAGAGCAAAAGAATTAAACCTCGGAGTTTGAGAGACATGCTCTTCTCCAGAACGCAGCCCCGGCGGCAACCCCAGGCGGCCGAAGGGACATGGCAGCAGCAGGCTGGGCTGACCACAAATATTTGCACAGGTGAACACTTTAGAAAAGGAAGTCAAATGTAGCATGCGGGTGGCTGGGGAGGAGAGGATGAGCCTCATGGAGCCCCACACCCTGAGCTTTTGCAGGGAGCAGCCACAGCCTGTGTTCACACACAGACCCAGCAGCCAGCCCCTGTTCACCCCACAAACCAGCCACAGACAGGCCAAGGTCACCCGTGGCCTTGTGGCGTGGAGCCCGGGGTTAATTCAGACCCAATGGCCAGGCACAGTGGCTCACGCCTGTAAATCCAGCCCTTTGGAAGGGCAAGGCAGGAGGATCACTTAAACCAAGGGGTTCCAGACCAGCCTGGGCAACATAGTGAGACCCCATCTCTATAAAAATTAAAATTAAAAAGTAGCCAGGCTGGGGTGCAGTGGCTCACACCTGTAATCCTGGCACTTTGGGAAGCTGAGGTGGGCAGATCACCTGAGGTCAGGAGTTCAAGACCAGCCTGCCCAACAACATGGTGAAACCCCATCTCTACAAAAATACAAAAATTAGCCAGGCGTGATGGCAGGTTCCCATAATCCCAGCTACCTGGGAGGCTGAGGCGAGAGAATCGCTTGAACCGGGGAGGCAGAGGTTGCAGTGAGCTGAGATCACGCCATTGCACTCTAGCCTAGGCGACAGAGTGAGAGTCCGTCTCAAAAAAAAAAAAAAAAAAAAGGGTGCTGGGCGTGGTGACGTGCGCCTGTAGTCCCAGCTACTCAGGAGGCTGACGTAGGAGGATCGCTTGAGCCCAGGAGGCCAATGCCATAGTGAGCTGAGTTTGCGCCACTGCACTCCAGCCCAGGTGACAGAGTGAAACCCTGTCTCAAAAAAACAAAACAAAAAAAGGATGGGCCAGGCGAGGTGGCTCACGCCTGTAATCCCAGCACTTTGGGAGGCCAAGGCGGGTGGATCACCTGAGGTCAGCAGATCGAGACCATCCTGGCTAACACGGTGAAACCCCATCTTTACTAAAAATACAAAAAATTAGCTGGATGCGGTGGTGCGCACCTGTAGTCCCAGCCACTCAGGAGGCCGAGGCAGGAGAATGGCGTGAACCCGGAAGGTGGAGGCTGCAGTGAGCCAGTAAGCCAACATCACGCCACTGCACTCCAGCCTGGGCAACAGAGCAAGACTCCATCTCAAAAAAAAAAAAAAAAAAAAAAAGGCTGGGCATGGTAGCCCATGCCTGTAATCCCAGCACTTTGGGAGGCCGAGGAGGGTGGATCATGAGGTCAGGAATTCGAGACCAGCCTGGCCAAGATGGTGAAACCCTGTCTCTACTAAAAAATACAAAAATTAGCCTGGCGTGGTGGCAGGCGCCTGTAATCCCATCTACTTGGGAGGCTGAGGCAGGAGAATCGCTTGAACCCGGGAGGCAGAGTCTGCAGTGAGCCAAGATCGCGCCACTGTACTCCAGCGTGGGTGACAGAGCAAGACTCCGCCTCAAAAAAAAAATGAATTGTAAAGTGTTTGTTAATATTTTAAATGTTTATTTTTCTTTACTTAGAATGACATTAAGTAGCAAACAGAACCACCATGACAAGCTGAGAGAGGAAGGAGAGAAGGAAAAAGGGATCATGGAAAAAGGGCAAAGCTTTCTGTTAGCACCTTTCACAGCAGTTTTTTTTCTTTCATTTTGTGCTAGGCCCTGAAGATTATTTATGTAGCCAGCCTTGGATATAATTCACACACAAAAGCTCTTTGGGGCTTCCAGTAATTTTTTTTCTTTTCTGTTTTTTTTTTTTTTTTTTTGAGACAGAGTCTCACTCTGTTGCCCAGACTGGAGTGCAGTGGCACAATCTCAGCTCGCTGCAACCTCCGTCTCCCAGATTCAGGTGATTCTTGTGCCTCAGCCTCCTACGTAGCTGGGATTACTGGTGCATACCACCACGCCCAACTAAATTTTGTATTTTTAGTTTCACCATGTTGGCCAGGCTGGTCTCGAGCTCCTGACCTCAAGTGATCCACCCACCTTGGCCTCCCAAAGTGCTGGGATTACGGGTGTGAGTCACCACACCTGGCCATTCTGGGCTCTTTCTGAGCTCACCGAGAGTCAGGCAGTGACCTCCCCGAGACCAGGGGAGTCCTGAATATGCGTCCTTTGGCTCGTCCAAGGCTTGCCAGCAATTCTGGGCCCTTTGCCGTGCTCTCCCCAGGCCTGCATGCGTCCCCCAACTGTGCACCCCAACAGGGCCAGCCAGTGATGGACGCCCTAGAACCTCTGATCACTCCCACAAAAGGGGGCTGCCCCCCTTCCCAACCAGAGTCCAGACTGTGAAACCAGGGGCCAGTCTCCAGATGCTTCTCCCCAAAAACTCCGCATGCTTGACAGGAGTCCCCTCCCCTGCTGCACAGCTGCGCATCCATCCTCAGCAGGAGACTGGCTTTCCATCAGATAGGCCGTCGTCCTCCCTTGTGGGAGACAGAAAAGATGATAGTATCTGACCGTGTGAGGCTGTCAGGTCTGGCCAGCAATCCCCCTGCACGCGGGGCCCGCTCACGGAGTGCTGGGAGCAGAGACCAGGAGAACAAGATCCACAATTGTTCTCTGCGGCCCCACGGTGGAGCTTGCCTCCCGTCATCAGAACACTTGAGTATGGCATCCTTCTGGCAATAGTTTTGTGTTAACTGTTTTGGTTGACCGACTGTTTTCGGGGGCTTCTCCAGTGAAAACCATACACAATGTGGCTGAGATTAGGCAGCATGAAAGGAATTCCTCTGCCTCCGAGCCAGAGCCTGGCTTTGAGAGGGAGGATCTTGTCCTGTATGTCCCTGGAAGCCTCAGCAGCGCTCGTTGTTGGCGACTGCATCAGAAGAGTCTCATCGTTCCTCAAGAGGTGGGGCTGGCCCGCTCACGCCTGTAATCACAACACTTTGGGAGGCCGAGGTGGGCGGATCACTTGAGGTCAGGAGGTCGAGACCAGCCTGGACAACATGGTGAAACACCGTCTCTACTGAAAATACAAAAATTATCCAGACATGGTGGCGGGCGCCTGTAATCTCAGCTACTCGGGAGGCTGAGGCAGGAGAATCGTTTGAACCCAGGAAGCAGAGGTTGCAGTGAGCCGAGATCGCGCCACTGCACTCCAGCTTGGGCGACAGAGTGAGACCCTGTCTCAAAAAAAAAAAGAGGTGGGGCTGAACGTCCAGGCCCCAGGGCTCCAGAGCAGGGTATCGTCTGCAGGTGGCACATGCACCTGAGGGTCTCCGTGGCCTCGGTGGTCTGCTCTTTGTCCTGTTTCCCCAGTGGCCGCCATGCCGGAGTCCTCTGAGAGCCAAGACCTACCCCCAGCCCAGGTGGAGATGCAGGGCTTGGCACCCTGGTCCAGAGGGTGGAGCCCTGCCTGTGAACCCCAGCAGACAGGCAGCCTCCAGGGACCACCGTGGGCCCTGCCTGGCATATCCATCCTCACCCACCCAGGGTTTTGACCAAACCTCTTTTACCCAGGCCAGCGTGCTCGGCACAAGCCATGCCCCCAACTCACCCACGGTCTTCCCTGGACTCCCTGCCCCCGCCCTGGGAGACCACCAGTGGGATGGGGTATGGCAGGACCAGCCCTGCTCAGGGAGGGGCCGCCCCCTACCAACATGGGCCCAGCCCTGGGACCAGAATGAACCTGAGCACAGTTCACATCTGAGACGCGTCCCCGGGACGGGGGCTGCGGTCCATGGTTTGGCAAGGGGCCGGGGCTACAGAGGGAATGGCTTCCGGTACAGAGCCTTGGACACAAGCCTGGTGTTGTGTGTTTTCTCAGATGCGGCATTTGTCCATTTGGCATCCATTAATCACAGGGCCGAACTAACAGCTACATTGTTTCTATCTTCCCTGCCCTCCAGAACCTGCCTCTGAACCACCTCCTTATCTAACTCTCACACCACAAGCTCATGTCCCCTGCCCTCAGTCACCAAGGGCCAAGCACCAAACAAGTAGGGAGAGCCGAGGTCCCAGAGCCCACCGGAATTACTCAGACTGACCAGGCCCAAGCTATTTCCCCGCCCTGCCCTGCCTTTCCCCTGGAAACCCCTGGAAAGGCTCTGACCTTGGCTTGCCTGGCTCGTGTCTGCTCCTGACCAGCCCTGGAGCTCCCTGCACTGGCCCCGGGCAGCCCAGCCCAGCATGCACCCTCCTCCAATTAAGTGCCTCACACCTCACACACCCTCCTCCAATTAAGTGCCTCACACACCCTCCTCCAATTAAGTGCCTCACTTAACGACAGGTTATGGTCTGAAAAATGCATCATGAGGTGACTTTGTGTCATGAAAACATCACAGAGTTCACTGGCATGAATTTAGATGGCCAGGCACAGCGGCTCACGCCTGCAATCCCAGCGCTTTGGGAGACTTCAGGCAGGAGAATCACTTGAGCCCAGGAGTTTGAGACCAGCCTGAGCAACAGAGCGAGACCCCATTTCTACAAAAAGAAACAAATAGAAAAAATTAGCCAGGCGTGGTAGCACGTGCCTGTAGCCCCAACTCTCAGAAAGCTGAGGCAGGAAGATTGCTTGAACCCAGGACTTCAAGGCTGCACTGAGCTGCGATAGCACCACTGCACTCCAGCCTGGGCGGCAGAGCAAGACCCTGTCTCTACAGAGAAAAAAGAAAAGGCCAGACGCAGTGGCTCACCCTGTAATCACAACATTTTGGGAGGCCAAGGCGGGTGGATCACCTGAGGTCTTGAGTTCTAGACCAGCATGACCAACATGGCCAAACCCTGTCTCTACTAAAAATACAAAAATTAGCTGGGCATGGTGGTGGGCGCCTGTAATCCCAGCTACTCGGGAGGCTGAGGCAAGAAAATCGCTTGAACCTGGGAGGCAGAGGTTGCAGTGAGCCAAGATCACGCCACTGCACTCACAGCCTGGGCAACAAGAACGAAACTCCTCAGAAAAAGAAAAAGAAAAAGAAAAACCAAAAATCCTATATGGCATAGCCTACTACACACCTTGGCTACATAAATTAAAATCTGGAGGGTGCATTTTGAGATCCTGGTTTTTAACCTAGGTCTCTGGCCCTCATTCCCTCATTTTGGGCCCAGGATCTTCACTGTCAGATGGATAGTCCTGAGAAAGAACCATCTTGAGGCAGTATCTGCAGAGAATTCTAAGTCAGGAAACAAAACTCTTGCCTTCAGAAATACTAAGTGCCCCAGCAGCGCAGTGGGGCTCAGATGTGCCCTATCCAGCGTGCTGGAAAAGTGGGTCCCTTATGCCACCTGGGCCAGCCCTTCCGTCCCCACTTTGCTTTTTTTTTTTCTGAGATGGAGTCTGACTCTGTTGCCCAGGCTAAAGTGCAGTGGTGCGATCTCGGCTCACTGCAACCTCTGCCTCCTGGGTTCAAGCGATTCTGCCTCAGGCTCCCAAGTAGCTGGGATTACCGGCACAGGCCACCATGCCCGGCTAATGTTTGTATTTTTAGTAGAGAGGGAGTTTCGCCATGTTGGCCAGGCTGGTCTCGAACCCCTGACCTCAAGTGATCCGCCCGCCTCAACCTCCCAAGGTGCTGAGATGACAGGCGTGAGCCACCGCGCCCGGCCCAGAATGTTTCTTAGCCAGCCTCCATCACCCCACCCCATTTGTCCGTCTCCCCGGCACCTTGATGCACTGGCAGTCTGCCTGACCGTCATGGCTGGTCCCACTCCAGGGTGCAGGTAAACGTCATCTCTGCACCAGGCTCTCCTGCCGGGGCTCTTCCCAGCTTCAGCTCCCCGCCCCAGCCCTGTGCCGTGTCCCTCTGCAGTTCATGCTTTGCTTTCTTGGCAGCTGGGCGGTTCGCTCGTCTCGCCAATGCTGGGCCTCCGTGTGGTCCCCCCAGCTTGCCCTGTGAGTTCTCAGAAGCACACACTCTAGCCCTGGGTGCCTGTTGGTGGAAGGAAGTCCACTGTGGGGCTCTCTCAGCCACTGTCCCTGAGCCTCCTCCTCTTTCTCCAGACCCTCAGTCGGGCTCCACCCCGACTCCTAGAGCCTCAGCGCTGCACCCGGGAGCACAGACGGAGGAGGGGCTCACGTGCCAGCCAAGGGAATAAGGCAGGCATGCAGGACACAGGAAGGGCAAGCTCAGAACCCGAGAGCCCCTGAGGACACGAAAGGAGTCTGGGCCTCAGGAGTGGGGACTTCCTGCAGGGGCGCTGGCGCTGGCCCTGCCCAGGGGCACTGATGGCTCCCGGCTGCCCAGAGCTGCCCCCAGGGCTACAATGGATAAAGCAGAATAAAACGGATTCATCCAGGAACCCGAGGCTGCTCCTGCACCCCTGCCTTCCACCTCACCCTCCAGCATAAGTGTTGGTCCCAATGACAGAGACCTCAGAAGTCAGCCCTTGCCAGTTTGAGAGGAACCTTCTAGAAAGGGAGCATCTCGCAGAAATGAAACACCACATTCCTGAGGTCAGCAAATTTGCAGCCCCTCCCTGCATAGCTTCTGCAGGGACAGAGACTAGTGTAGCAGCGGGCTGCTGTGGCCGCCCTGGAGAAAGCATCTCAGGCCTTCATGGGGTCCCTGGCCTCTCCTGGGCCATGGCCGAGCCCCTGCAGAGGGACCCATGTGGAAATCACAACCCCGCAGCTCCTTAGGGGAACAAGGCGCCCGGGACAGTCTGGCAGATAGGAGAAGGGGCTCAGGCCTGGGGAGCCAGGAAAGGAGTGAGGACAGGAGCTCCAAGGGGACTCAATTCATTTTAAGTCACTCAAGCCCCTCTCACCTGTGGCCCGGCCCCCTCCTGGAGCCTGGGATCTAGACCATCTCAGGCTTGTGAGGGGCCTCTAGATCTGGCCACATGGCCCAGGGGAAACACGCCTTTCCCCAAAGCACCCCTCCTCCTGGACAAAGGGGACTCACAGGCGCTGCCCACATGGCACCCCATAATCCAGGCTTCACCCCGGAGGCCGGCTTCCCCTTCCCTTCCCTGGCTCTGCCCTGCACGGCCACACTGAGGAGCCCGGGAGGGAGGAAGCCAGAGCCCGCCTCACCCTGACCCTCCAGCCCCATGCCCCGGGCAGAGAGGCATGCCCCAGGCAGAGAGGCCGTCCAGAACCAGGGGCCCCAGGCCTGTCCCCCCACAGAGGGCAGGGGTCAGCAGCCCCAACTGAGCTCTGAGGACCCCCCAGTCAGGCGATCAACCCAGTGAGGACCCCTGCCCCAGGGGAGGGAGGGAGCCAGGTTGCCCCCACGTGCCGACTCCCTGCACACGGGGGATCTCAGAGCTCCCCAGGGTTGGGCCTCGCAGGAAGCGCTGGTGCAGTGAGAGGCGGGCAAGCTGCTGGCCCTCTCTAGTCTCCTCTCTTCCTCTACGACGGGGCTTCATAAATATTTTCAGGCCTGTGGAGAGGGTGGGTGCAGGGGCTGACCCTTCCCTGTGTCCCCTTTGGGGCTGGGCTGCTGGGACCAGGGCATGCTCAGGGCTTCCATGCCCGTGTGTGCAAGGCTTAGGGCGGAGAGCACGGCCACCTGGTCCCACCCACCCATCCCAGCAGGCCAGGAGGGCAGGGGCTTTGTGAGAACCCTCGAGGCGGAAGCAGCCTCCTCCCCAGGCTTCTCCGAGCCCCTTCCTGGACTCCCAGGGCTGTGAGGACCCCAACCCGTGGCCCACGCCATCCTGGTCTGGCTGGGGTAGGAGGGCTGGAGATGGGCTCCCAGGCCCCTTCCCCTCCACCGGGCGGAACAGGAAGAGGGTAATTGAATCAGCGCTTCTCGCCCCATCTGGAACATTCCAACATGGAAAACCCACGGAGCGGCTGGGGAAGCAATTTAGGGACTTTAATTAAAGGCTGATGACTCTCCCAGGGAGCGCCTCCCTGCACGCAGCCCGTAGGTCCCCACCGACATCTGCCCTCCGTGTGTTCGGAGGCCCAGCTGGGCACCTCACCCGCATTGAGTGCTGGTGGTTAGGCGGAGTTCCTGCTCAGCGGGTGCAGAATACGCCAGCCCACCCCTCGCTGCTTCCAGAGTCTGCCCCCCCAGGCCCTGGGTTCAGGCCCCAAAGCCAGCCAAACCAGTGCCCCACCCCTCACAGCTCTGTGTCGGGACGGAAACAATGGGGTCATTTGGTGGACTCAGAAAAGGAACTCTAAACGGAGGGAGGAAAGTAGCAGAGCCTCAGTGAGAGCAGCTGCCCCTCCATCCCGTCAGCACCTTCTGCAGGGAAAGGCATTCCAGACAGAGGGAATAGCACATGCAAAGCCCATGAGGTTGGACAGGCCACGGCAGGTGGAAGGAGCTGGCAGGTGCCAGTGTGGTGGGCGTGCTGGAATAAGGAGCGCATGTAGGACGGAGGGGCAAGCCGTAGAGGGCTGTAACAGCTGTGATCTGGAGTTTGGTTTTCATCCTAGAAGCAATAAGGGGAAAAGGTGGGGATCAGAGAGTTTTAAAACAATAGGATCTGGTTTATTCCGCGACGGCCCTCCAGCTGCCATGCGGAGAGCTCACTGTAGAACAAAAGAGGTGGTGGGATGATGGTGAGCAGCCCCTGAAACGGCCCAGGCATGAGAAGGGTGTGTCCAGGAAGAAGAAATCCACATGCACCGGGCTGGGAACTGGGTCACCAGGGGCCAGGGGCTGTCCTGTATTCCTTCCCACCCCCAGGCCTGGGGCAGGCAGTTGGCCCGGTCTTCACAGAGGGCACCCGTGCAGGGGGTGGGGACAGAGCAGCCCAGCCCAGTGATCCCCTCCTGGCAGGGATCCGAGGTGGAGTCTGTTCCCTCTTCCCAAAGCTGCTGTCAGTCGGGGGGGCCCTTTCCCCTCCACCCACATCAGAGCTTCGAGGTAGGACGGAGGCTGTGCCTGTGACTTGTCCACATCTGGGCCCACATCTGCCCACCATGTTGCCACTGCAGTCTCTGGGTGGGTGCTCGGAGGGGAGCTCAGAACCGGCCTCCAGCCCTGCCTCTGTCCTGGCCTGGGATGGAGAGGCCTGTGGGAAGTGCCTGCCCCTCAGGGCAGCTGCAGAGCAGAGTGTCCACTGGGCCCAGAAACTAGCAGGAGGCGGGGTGGGTGTCCAGACGCAGCCCCTCCTGCAAATCCTTCCTCACTGCCTGCATTCCCAAAACAGGGAGTGGCTCCAAGTAGCTGAGAGGCAGAAAGACCATATCAGGGCCTGTGGGACTCAGCGGGGCTGTGGAGACCACAGCTAGGCCTTGCGACAGACCTGGGGCTAAGCCCAAGCAGCCCCGGAGGTCATCGTCAGGGCAGCTGGTGGGCACCTGGCAGACAGCACGTGGCCACAAGCAGGTGAGGGTCATTACTGAGGAGTCCCTCCTACTCCCAGGACACAGGGGCGGACAGGGCACCCCAGCCTGCCTGAGTCTGGCCTCAGTTATGAGCGGGCAGCTGGACTGCAGATGGCCACTGATCCCAGCCCTATCCCCAGGGGAGGGCACAGAACAAATACCACGGAACTGGGGCAGCAGGGGCCTGGGGGAGTGGGTGGGGCCAGAGAGTGGGTGGTGCCTGAATGGGTGGGCCTCTACAGGGAAGGCTAAGAGGCTATTAATCCGTCTCCCTGTGCACACACCCAACACTCGCTGACCTCACCAACACTCAGGCAATTCCACAAGGCTCCAGAAGGAAGCGTCCACTGCGCACCTGGATTCCGGATGAGCCAAGGTGGTGGGTGCGGACCCGACTTTAATCCTGCCCCACCACTCCACAGCGAGGCCTGCAGCCTCACTTTCCTCATCCTGAACATGAGGACAGCCCTGCCCAGCCTCCCAGGGCTGAGAAGAGAGCCTGAGCATGGCCCCCAGCATCACTAGGGCTAAGCTGCATGTCGCTGGGCGGGCCCTACGCCTCTCCGAGCTCACAGGCTAGACCTGACCAGGCGCACTGCCCACCTCTGAGGGTGTATAAAGAATGAGTTTTGGGCCAGGTGTGGTGGCTCCTGCCTGTAATCCCAGCACTTTGGGAAGCCAAGATGGGCGGATCACTTGAGGTCAGGAGTTCGAGACCAGCCTGGCCAACATGGTGAAACCCCATCTCTACTAAAAATACCAAAAAAAATTAGCTGGGCATGTTGGCGCATGCCTGTAATCCCAGCTACCTGGGAGGCTGAGGTAGGAAAATCGCTGGAACCCAGGAGGTGGAGGCTGCAGTGAGCTGAGATCACACCACTGCACTCCAGCCTGGGCCACAGAGGGTGACTCTGTCCTAAGAAAAAATTAAAATTGGCTGGGTGTGGTGGTTCACGCCTGTAATCCCAGCACTTTGGGAGGCCAAGGCGAGTGGATCACCAGGTCAGGAGATACAGACCATCCTGGCTAACATGGTGAAACCCTGTCTGTACTAAAAAAAAAAAAAAAAAAAAAAAAAACACAAAATTACCCAGGTGTGGTGGCACACGCCTGTAATCCCAGCTACTTGGGAGGCTGAGACAGGAGAATTGCTTGAACCTGGGAGGCGGAGGTTGCAATGAGCTGAGATCACACCACTGCACTCCAGCATGGTGACAGAGCAAGACTCCATCTCAAAAAAAAAAAAAAAAAAAAAATAGCTGGGTGCGGTGGCTCACGCCTGTAATCCCAGCACTTTGGGAGGCTGAGGCGGGTAGATCACGAGGTCAGGAGATCGTAGCCATCCTGGCTAACACGGTGAAACCCCGTCTCTACTAAAAATACAAAAAGAAATTAGCTGGGCGTGGTGGTGGGCGCCTGTAGTCCCAGCTACTCGGGAGGCTGAGGCAGGAGAATGGCGTGAACCCGGGAGGTGGAGCTTGCAGTGAGTCGAGATCACGCCACTGCACTCCAGCCTGGGCGACAGAGCGAGACTCGATCTCAAAAAAAAAAAAAAAAAAAAAGTGCGACACGAGGCACACAGTCAGTGCCCAGTGGAGTTCGCTGATATGGTTACCACATCCCTGGGGACAGCGCCTCCACCCTCCAACCTCGAGGTTTGTGGAAAAATCTGGGTCCAAGCTTTATTTCTTAAATATTCCTCTCTGCCCAGCATGTGCACGCAGCCCGCTCTGGCCAGGCGAGCGGGTGTCAATCAAGGTGCTGAGCATCCCCAGGGTGCCGCTCAGCCCCAGCCGAAGTCCTGGCCCGTCATCTGGTAGAACCTGCGGTTGAAGGGCCGGTAGAACTCCTGCAGGCGCCGGACCAGGGCCTGGGGCACGCGTGGGTGTGGCCGGCCCTTGGACTTGCCCAGGCAGCGGGGACGGCTGCCGCCCTGGGCCTTCTTGAGGCAGGGGAAGCCCTTGGTGGCGTTGAAGTAGAAGTGCTTGTCCGTGACGACCCGTTTCAGGCCCAGGAAGTCCTGCACGCGGCCGACCTCTCCGGCCGGGTCGCTGACCAGACGCTCCCCGCTGACGAACAGGAAGTGGGACAGGGGGAAGTAGCGCAGCCAGTGGTCCAGGTGCTGGGCGTACAGGCCGATGCGGACGGCGCTCCAGGCTGTGTCCACGGGGCCCAGGCCGTGGCGGAAGGCCAGGGCGCGGAAGCTGGGCAGGCCCGGGGTCTTGGAGAGCGTCTGGGCGTAGTCGGAGATGGCCCGGGTCACGGGGTTCCGCACCACCACGATCAGCTTCGTGTCCGGGGACATGGCGTGGATGCGGCGGGGGGCCTCTCGCGTCACGAAGTAGCTGGGGGTCTTCTCCATGGTGATCTGCCCATCCAGGGTTCGGGGCATCAGACTCCTGCGGGACGGGTGCAAGGAGAGGGGGCCTGAGCCTCCCCAGCCCTAGACCGGCCCCCAGGGGCCCGGGACCAAGGCCCCCTTATGCCCGGGAAGCCCAGGCCTCCAGGGCGAGCAAGTCTTCCTCCCTGCTCGGGCCCACCCCTGCTAGCGTGCGCGGCTGGGCAGCCTGGAACATGGACTGTGAGGGTGCCCAGCCCGGCACCTGCCTGCAGCCCGGCCTGTTCCGCCGGCCTGCCCCGCCTGCTGCTGCACTGAGGATTAGGGTGACGGTCGCTGGTCGGGAGGCCCAAATGCTCCTCACCACCCACATATCTTCCCTGTGCAATCCCTGCCGTCCTCGCTTCCAGAGCCAGCTCCCTCCCACCGGACCCACACTTTCCTGGAACTAGGCTGCCCCCAGCTCCTTTCTCATCCCAGACCAAGTACCCCGAGGCCCGCCCGCCTAGATCACTTGAGGTCACCCGTTCACTCAGTGGCTGACAGCATCCCCTAAATCAGCCCTTCACCAATTATTGACAGTGTGTCCTCAACCAAAAGTAGTCCTCCCTGCTCCCTCCCTCCCCTGATGTAATTACATCTCTTCCCATCTTTATTTATTTTTTGAGACGGAGTCTTGCTCTGTCACCCAGGCTGGAGTGTAGTGGTGCAATCTCGGCTCACTGCAACCTCTGCCTCCCGGGTTCAAGCGATTTTCCTGCCTCAGCCCCCGGAGTAGCTGGGATTACAGGTGCCCGCCACCACACCCAGCTAATTTTTGTATTTTTAGTAGAGACGGGGTTTCGCCATGTTGGCCAGGCTGGTCTCGAACTCCTGACCTCAGGTGATCCGCCTGCCTCAGCCTCCCAAAGTGCTGGGATTACAGACGTGAGCCACTGCGGCTGGCCTCTCTCCCCGTCTTTAACTGTAGCCCTGTGAATTCTCATCAGCCTGGGCCTGGACTCAGCAGGCCAAAAAGTTACCAGCAGAGCCCAGCACATGTGAGGAAAGTCGGAGACGTGGCGGCGCCGGCCGGAGGATCCTTCCCAAGACCCTGGGCCGCTGTGGCCCCCTAGATCTTGCAGGTTGCCAGGGTGCCAGGCCAGGGAGGGGGCCTTTCTGAGATTCTCCTCATTCTGACACAGGAGAGGAGGGCACTGACCCAGTCCCAAGGTCCCGGGGGAATCAGCCGACCACAGCCCAGGACTGTCCCACCTGGGCAGAGAGCCCATTCTGGGTGCCCAGCCCGGGCAGGCCCAGGCACCCCCAGCAGTGCCCCGGGCAGCACCTGCCAGCCAGGTAGTGCAGGGTGAGGTTGGGCAGGGCAGGGCGTGGTAGGTCAGCTGAGCAAACAGCTCGGAGGGAGAGCTGGGGAGGGCTGGGAACTAGGTCGATAGAAACACAGGGACTGTGTTAGGGAGGGGATGCCTTGCCAGTCACGCCCAGCCCTGACTCCTGCCCTCTGAGGGGGCTTCCCCCACCCCTGCTGACAGCCCCAGGACCGGCCCCTGCCAGGAGGCTGACCTGCCAGGAGTGACCGCCCCAGACTTGAGCCCTTGGGAGGCAGGTTCTGAGTCCCCTTTTCCTGCTCAGACCCCCAGGGAAACGCAGGCTGGGCCAGAGGCAGCTGCACAGACCCCTGCAGTGGGGTGCTCGGTGGAGAGCGCTGGAGGTGGGAGGGAGGATGTGTGAGGCAGCGGGAGAGAATCCAGGCTTCCCCCACAACACCCACCATGAGCGGTGCAGAGTAGGGGTGGGCGGCACGGGAGCCTTCCCACCCCGCAGAACCAGGCCCTGGGCAGAGCTGGCCTACAGACGATACCGGACAAGTCCTCCTCCGTCTTGGTGACAGAGGGAGCTGGGACTCCCTCCACCCACCCACTGCCACTTCAGAAGCAGCCACAGGGAGACTGGGAGGGGCAGGGGTGCTGGGGATGAGCGTGGGGCTCAGCCCTCCCTCTTCCCACCCTGGAGGGCTGCCTCCTTCCAGCCCACCTGGAAGGGTGGTGTCAGTCCCAGAGCCCCTGCACTCCCCGCCCCACCTCCTGCAGCTGGAACCCGCGTGGGAGCCGCACCCAGCGTCCCAGGGACAAACACAGAGGCCTTGGGTGGTGGCGGTACCAAGGTCTGAGGCCTGGCAGCTCAGGGGCACCCCCGTCCCTGAGAGAGGTCAAGAAGGGGAGGCACCACCCCCCACCACGGGACCTCGCTGACGATGCCCATAGAGAGAAACCAGGCCAGTGCTGGGAGGGGAAAGACCCCAGGCCTCATGAGAAGTCACTGCCTGCTTTTCCCCTCGGCCAGGAAGGAAGCCCCAGGCCCTTCCCTCCCGTCTCGGGCATACTGACCCCAGGCACCAAGCGAGACCAGGAGCCCACCCCTTTCCTTTCCCAGATGGCACACCAGTGACTCTGAATATCCTCCTCTTCCTGCCTGCTGGAGGGACCAGCACCAAAACAGGAAAGTTCACCCTGCCAGGCCTTCTCTCCAAAGAGTCAGAGGGAGCTCCGTAGGGGGATGGGGTTCCCGGACCCCCTGCCGTGGAAGGGGAGTGGGAACACAGACAGGCGGCAAGGGCTTTCGAGGCCCCCTCTTGCACAAACCAGCTCAGAGATCGGAGATCTTTGGGATCAATTACTTTCCCTCCCCAGGCATCCGAAGCCTATCCTAGCCCAGGTGTGGATGAGGGTGGGAGAGACGGGGGAGGAGGGAGAGGAGCAGGACTGGACCCCCGTGTGACAAACATCTGACAAGTTGCTCTGAGGACTGCCCCCCTCCTTGTGGAGCCCACCTCATCTGGTGTGCATTTCCCTGCGGCTTTCATCCAGCCCTGGGCGACCCTCCCTCCTCCATCTCAGCCTCCCTCCTCCTGCCCCACACCTCAGGCCTGGGACTCGCAGATGCCAAAAGGGCCTGGCAGATGCCAAAGCCAGAAAGTGCAGGGGGACTGCATCCCCCACAGGAGACCGGGTTCTTCCCCACTACATACTCAGACCCCACTCCCTGCACCCACTGCTCTTGCAAACCAGGAACTAAGGGGTTCCCCTACCCACCCCGCTCCTTGCCTCCTCTTGCTTTTCTTTTGTTTTGTTTGTTTTTGAGACAGAGCTGCACTCCAGCTGACTCTTGTCGCCCAGGCTGGAGTGCAGTGGCACAATCTCAGCTCACTACAACCTCTGCCTCCCGGGTTCAAGCGATTCTCCTGCCTCAGCCTCCCAAGTAGCTGGGAATACAGGCACCCATCACCACGCCTGGCTAATTTTTGTATTTTTAGTAGAGATGGGGTTTCACCATGTTAGTCAGGCTGGTCTCAAACTCCTGACCTCAGGTAATCTGCCCACCTCAGCCTCCCAAAGGGCTGGGATTACAGGCGTGAGCCACTGTGCCCCACCCTCCTCTTGCTTTTCTAAAAGATGATGGTCAAAGTACAGCCCCCATTTGCCCCCAGACAGGGCACCCTTCCCAGATCGAGACCTTGGGGAGTCTGCGTGACCCCCACACCTGGCAGACACAGGTGCTTCACTAGTGGGGGAACGGCTGAGCATGTGCTGAGCTCGGGGGCACTAGTGGGCTACAGTCCCCAAGTGGGAGGCCCCTCAAGAGCCTGGATGAGCTGACTGACGGTGGAGAGGAGGGAAGGAGGGCCTATGGCCAAAGTCAATCCAGGACCCAACTGCCGAGGCCACAGGAAGGCCGGGTCACCGCCTGGAACTAGGTCGGTCACAGCCCAGTGGGAGCCGTGGCCCGGAGACTCAACTGGGGGCCCTGGTTACTCTGCTCGCCTCCCCGCGTCGGCACCCAGAACAGAGCTTGCAGGCACTGGGGGCCCAGTCCAGGGTCTCAAGAGCAGACAATGCTGCCTTGCAGTTGGGGAAACTGAGACAGGGTGAGAACTTTCAGAGGCTCATTGCAGGCTCCTAGCAGGCTGAAAGGACGGAGGCACAGGCACCTAGGAGCACACCAGCCCCACGTGGCCACGGCCCCTCGGAGAGCATGAGGACACTTGCAATGCGGAAGCTCAGCAGGCCCAGCTCTACTGGCTCTGCACCGCCCAGTGAGGGGTCAGCACAGTTGGTCCAAGGGACAATACCAGATTAATGAGGCAGAAGCCACGGGACTGACCCCTTGGAATTCTCCACACCCACCCCTCCCCCTTCTAAAAAATGAGGACGTCAAGAATCTACCAGAGCAGTCACTCTCCTGTACCCCCCTCCAACCCTGGGCACGTCAGTGTCCCCGGAACCCCACCCCCAGGCTAAGGAGCTGACTCCCAAGTTGGGCCTGGCCTTGGCTGCCTCTCATCCTCCCCAAACTGATCCCCCAGCGCTGGACACATGCCCAGGGCGGGCCTGGACTGGCCTCAGGAGCCTGGGCTCTTCCAGAACCCTTTAGGGCTAAACCCAACCCTAGCTTCCCCTGTGGCTCCTCACGGCCCAGCTCAGATCCCACCCCCAGTCTCTTGCTGTCAAAGCTCATGGGGCTCAGGGGTGGCTCTGAAGTGTTTACTCCAGTTAACTGTGCATCCTTAACCCAAAGCCCTTTCTCCCCTTCCCCCTCCCGCCTCTCCCCTCCTCCCCCGTCTCGCCACTCCCCTCCTCCCCAGCTTCTAGCTTGGTAGCCCCTCCTACCCTCCTCCCTGCAGCAGGGATTAGGGATGCATTCTGACCCCTGCCTGCCGTCAGGGGAGTGAGGTCTCTCCCTGGAGCCTGAGCTGAGGATGCCCAATTCAGCCAGGTGAGCCCCGGGATGGACTCCATGTCCCCTAGCCACCACCTGACTTCCCCAGCACCCCACACTGGCACCAGCCCTTCAGATCTCAGAAGCGAGCCACCCTATTCTCACGGAGCCCCTTCCTGCCTGCCCTCCAAACCCAAGAGTAGTTTTAGTACAAAAGGCAAAGTTAACAAATAGGGGTAGGCGTCAGGGAAGGAAGAGGATCAGAGGATCGGGAACGGAGAAACTGGAGCACCTGGAGAAGCGTCTGGGTCCTGCCACCCCCACTGACTCCCCAACTGGCCTTGGGCAGGGTCCTCTCTGCAGGCGCTGGGTCCAAGCTTGGGGATGAGCAGCCACCAGCGCGGGCTGCTTCAGCTGAGGCTGCCGCACCCCCACGTCCATCCTGGGTAGAGGCAGGACAGCCACAGAGCCCCATGCACGGGGCTGGACTCACCCTGGGCACTCACCTAAAGGCAGTCTCCTCCTTTCCAAAGCCCAGACTTTCTCCGGACTCCCAGGACCACCAACAAGGGTTCCTGTGCGCAGACTCGGGGGTCTTGGGGAGGAAGGACGCTTTCTAGGTGGCTGCCTGGAACCTGGAGGCCCCTTTCTACAGTACCTGGCCAGCGGTCGGTCACACCTGAGTGCCCAGAGTGAGCGGGCGGCAGAGGCATTTCTGACGCTGCCAGGTAATCCCACGGGCTGGAAACGACCTCTGGGCTGGGAAGCCACCGCCTCCCCCAGTCCTGCTGGGTCCCTCAGCAGAGAGAACGGAACCGGGGCTTTCCCCACAGTTTTCAAAGTTTCAGGGAATCCTAGCCAAGTATCATTCCTTCTTCCGGAGCCGGGACCCCAGGTCAAGCCTGGGGCCCCCACAGGGCGGTCCCAACCCCACTGCCCGGAGCGCACCCCTGCTCCCTGGGAGGCAGGATATCGTGCCGCTGCTCCCTGGGGCGCACGATACCCTCCCCAGGAAGGCGCCGGTCAGGGCGGACGGGCCAGGGTGCTCACCGGTACCAGGCGAGGCCGCGCTCGTAGCACCTGTCGAAGAAGTGGGGCTCAGAGCCCAGCGCGCGGACGTCGGGGTGCAGCCGCAGAAACTCCAGCAGGGCGCGCGTGCCGCCCTTCTTCACGCCAACGATGAGCGCTTGCGGGAAGCGCCGGCGGCCGGGACCGCTGGCCAAAGGCAGGCCGGGTGCTCCCGGGCGGTGGACGGAGCTGGACGGCTCGGAGGGCGCGGGGGCCGGCGCGGGGGCGCGGGCGGCCGGCGGGCAGCGGCCGGGGAGGGCGCAGAGGCAGTAGGCGCCGAGCACCAGGGCCACGAGCAGCATCGGCGCGCGGGACGCCCGCAGAGCGGCCCCTTGCCCGGCCCCTGCGCCCTGGCCGCCCCCGGCCCCGCCGCCCAGGCCGCCGCTACCTGCCATGGGGTCGCGCCGCTCCAGGCCCGGGAGCGGGGGCAGCAGGCGGGCGCGCATCTCGGCCCGCGCGCCGCTCAGTCCGTGGGTGCCCGGCTTGTGCTCTGCGCCCGGCGGTCCCGCAGCCTGGGAGCGGGCGCGGGGCGGGACCGGGGGCGGGGTCTGGACGCCCTCCCCCCTCCCCCTCCCCCGCCCACTCCGCCTCCGAGGCCACTGCCTGGGCTGGACCCGCCGGCAGCCGCCACCACCCGGGCGCGACTCGAGCTGCCGGGACCACCAGGACGCTCCTGCTCCGAGATCCCAGGCCCTGGCTCGCTTGACTCCGGCATCTTCACCTCTGCGCGGGGAGGATGCGGCGGCGGTGGCCGTTCGGGACGCAGGGCAGGGACAGGGCGGCGCGCGGGCCTCGGGACCCTCTGTTTGAAGACCGATCCCCTTCCCCCCCCACCCCACTCCGGGACGTGCGCGGCAGGTGCATAGGCCAAGCCTTGGCCTGCAGGAGCGGGAGCCTCATCGCCAGGCCAAGGGGACCCAGGAAAAGCGTCGATCCGGGCACTCGGCCTGCCAAGGGAGAAAGAGGCCGGGACAGCACCCTAGTGTGCAGAGAGGGATCCCAGAACGTGTGGGGGGAGTCTGCGGCCGGGAATGGCGTGCGTCCTGCACTCCCAGCTGACAGTCACACATCGGGTCACAGCCTGGCCGCTGAGAGGTCAAGTCACCTCTGGTTACTGTTTTAGAATGGAGGGGACAGGCTCAGAGAAAATAGGTTTCCCTCCCAGGGGCCCAGTGGTGAACTGAATTCAGGCCTGAGACATACTCTGTCTACTAAGTCACCCCATCTGCCCAGCCTTGGTCCACCTGGCACTGCCCAGAGACATCAGTGATGCATTTCGGAAGCTGGCAAAGTGGACCCCACTGGAGTACAAAGGACTCAGGGACCCCTGTGCTGGGGAAGAGAAGGAGCCCAGGACCTCCCCCAGGGGCTGCCTCTGAGGGGCGTGAGATTCAGGGGCCTCTCGGGTGGGACCTGCGGGGGCCGCTAGACACTGCGGGAACTTCACATCCCCAACGCCCAGCAGCAGCCTGCAGGGAAGGCAGGGGAGGCGAGCCGGGCTCAGAGAGGGCGAGCAACTTGCCCCATCCGAAGGCAAAGGTGGTATGAGACCCGGGTCCTCTCTCCACCTCTGCCCCAGCCTTCCTGGCCACAGGGCTGGCGCCAGGCAGGCACGGCACAGGCTCCCGGCAGAGGCCCAGCCTCTTCCCAGCCAAGGGCTTGCGGCCCCTGTCCTGGGCTCTGCTGCGTTAATGAGCCGTTCCAGCCCTGATGGCATCTGGACAAGTCCCAGCAGCCGGGCTGCCTCAAGGGGCCGAAGGCCTCCACGACCCACAGACATTCCGGAGCTCCTACCCAGCAGCAGCCCTGGCCAGAGGGGGCCACACGGGGCTGACGGGGTGAAGACCACTGACCAGTCCCCCAGCCCCGGCTCCAGACATGCGGGCTGCACCTGCTCATCTGGGCAAGCCTCTGCAGGAGCCCCGTGGGCAGGCAGCGGGCACAATGCGAGGAGAGCATGCTGGCTTATGCTGGGTCACAGGAAATTCTTCTTCTGGTCTAGCTTGAAACGGTATTGTTCCCAACGGGCTGGCTCGGGGTGGGGGCTGGGGTCCCACCCTGCAGCATCCACCCCACAGTCTCAGCAGTCCCCACGGTCTCAGGAGTCCTCACGGTCTCAGGAGTCCCCACGGTCTCAGCATCCCCATGGTCTCAGCTGTCCCCAGGGTCTCAGGAGTCCCCACGGTCTCAGCCGTCCCCATGGTCTCAGCCGTCCCCAGGGTCTCAGGAGTCCCCACGGTCTCAGCCGTCCCCACGGTCTCAGCAGTCCCCACGGTCTCAGGAGCCCCCACGGTCTCAGCCATCCCCACGGTCTCAGGAGTCCCCACGGTCTCAGCAGTCCCCACGGTCTCAGGAGCCCCCACGGTCTCAGCCATCCCCACGGTCTCAGGAGTCCCCACGGTCTCAGCCGTCCCCACGGTCTGAGTCCCCACGGTCTCAGCTGTTCCCACGGTCTCAGGAGTCCCCACAGGTTCAGCAGTCCCCACGGTCTCAGCCATCCCCACGGTCTCAGCCGTCCCCACAGTCTCAGCCATCCCCACGGTCTCAGCAGTCCCTACTCAGGACTTGAAATTCCAGCACTGGTTCCGTGATGGCTCCTCCAGCCCCCTGCCCAGCCCAGCATGGTCATTTCCATCTCCTGGCCTTTCCGCTGCCGTCTCTCTGCTGGATGCTTTATCCTTAGTCCCCGCTGAGGGCAGAAGGACTTTCCAGGAGGAATTGACCAGAACGCAGAACAGCAGGATGTGGAATGGACTGGGGACAGGGAGAGAGAGATGCAGGGACCAGGAGTCGGCTCGGAGGGTTCTCCTGGAAGCTGACCCCTCCCTCCATCAGGCACTCGGCTGACGGTGGCTACACACCTCGGGGCGCCCAGGATGGCAGCACTGGGGCTGTTCATTCACCAGTGGATCCCCAGCACCTAACAGAGCCTGGCACGCAGTGGACATTCCATTAATGTCGCTCAGTGGAAGGGTATACGTGGGAGGAGAGGTCGGGAAGGCTTTCTGGAGGTGACGGCCAGGTGAAGACGAGGAGAACAGCATTCCAGGCCAAGGAACCGTGTGGGTGAAGGCTCAGCAGCAGAGAGCCCGGGCAGTAGAGGATGGGGTGGAGCTTAAGGCCCTGCGGGAACAGGGGCGGGGCTTAGAGTCTGGCCTGAGGCTGGTCCAGCCCCGCCTCCTCCTCAGGCTCCCACCAACTCTGAGCCACCAGACCCTCCTTTGTAAAATGAAGACCTCAGTCATGACTCGCATGAGTCTCTGAAGAGTAACAGCTTTATTGTGATGTAATTCACACACCACTCAATCCAGCCATTTGTCGCATGCAAATCAATGGTTTTCAGTATATTCATAGTCGTGCAATCACAATCAATTTTAGAACATTTCTATCACCCCAAAAAGAAATCCTGTGTCCATTAGCAATGACGCCCTCTTCTCCCCTTCCCACAGCCCCTGGCAACCACGAATCTACTTTCTGTCTCTATGGGTTTGCCTATTCTGGACATTTCACAAAAAGAGAATCATTGCTTGAAGCCAGGAGTTCAAGACCAACCTGGGCAACAAAGCGAGAACCCCGTCTGTACAAAATATTTTAAATTTAGCCAGGCACAGTGGCGCACACCAGTAGTCCCAGCACTTTGGAAGTCTGAGGCAGGAGGTTCACTTGAGGCGGGGAATTCAAAACCAGCCTGGGCAACATAGGGAGTACCAGTCTCTACAAAAAATTTCAAAATTTGCCAAGCGTGATGGTATGCACCTATAGTCCTAGCTTACTCAGGAGGCTGAGGTGGGAGGATCGCTTGAGCCCAGGAGTACGAGGCTGCAGTGAGCCATGATCATACCACTGCATTCCAGCCTGGGCGACAGAGTGAGAGCCCATCTCTAAAACAGAAAGAAAGAAAGAAAGAAATATGGCCAGTCACAGTGGCTCATGCCTGTAATCCCAGCATTTTGGGAGGCCAAGGCAGGTGGATCACTTGAGGTCAGGAGTTCGAGACCAGCCTGGCCAACATGGTGAAACCCTGTCTCTACCAAAAATACATAAATTAGCCAGGTGTGGGCCAGGCGCCATGGCTTACACTTGTAATCCCAGCACTTTGGGAGGCCGAGGTGGGCAGATCACCTGAGGTTGAGAGTTCGAGACCAGCCTGACCAACATGAAGAAACCCTGTCTCTACTAAAAATACAAAAAATTAGCTGGGTGTGGTGGTGCATGCCTGTAATCTCAGCTACTTGGGAGGCTGAGGAAGGAGAATGGCTTGAACCCGGGAGGCAGAGGTTGTGGTGAGCCGAGATCGCGCGATTGCACTCCAGCCTGGGCAACAACAGCAAAACTCCATCTCAAATAATAATAATAATAAATTAGCCAGGTGTGGTGGTGCACGCCTGTAGTCCCAGCTACTCGGGAGGCTGAGGCACAAGAAACCCTTGAACCCGGGAGGCAGAGGTTGCAGTGAAGCTGAAATTGCACCATTCCACTCCAGCCTGGGAGACAGAGTGAGACACCATCTCTAAAATGAAAAAAAAAAAAGAGAATCATACAATGTTCGTCCTTTTGTGTCTGGGTCTCTTACTCAGCATGTTCTCCAGGTTCATCAACACTGTGGCATGTGCCAGTACCTCCTTCCTCTTCCTGACTGAGTAATACTCCATCGTATGGATGGACCACCTTTTGTTGATTCCCTCATTCGTTGATGGACATCTAGGTTGTTTCCACTGCGGGGTTCTTATGAATAACGCTGCCATGAACATTCAGGTATACGGTTTTGAGTGGACATACGTTTCATGTCTCTAGGGAATATACCTAGGAGTGAAATTGCTCAATCATATGGTAACTCTGTGTTGAGTGCCTTATGAAGGTTAAATCTGATAATTTCAGGAACTTCTTCTCCATGCTCCTCACACACAAACTTCCTTCCCTCTGCCCCAGGACACCTGAGCAACCAGACTGTAGGGACAAAGGGTGTGGGCTGTCCCTGCACCCTGAGAGGGTCCCTCGCCTCCTGCTCTCTGTCTGAATGTCCTCCTCCGCCAAGAAACAGACATCAACAAGTTCCTTCTGCCTAGCCGGATCTCCCAAGGCCCCAGGGGTTTTGAGGGTCCACACTGCCCGAGCTCATCTTGACCCCTGTATAAGCCAGACAGCCAGGCAGATGGTCTGTCCACCCTCCAGCTGACGAACATGTGGATGGTCGGCCTGATGTAGTGGCTGGGAGGAGAGGATCTGGGAGGGGAGATGGGCTGTGCTGCCCCAGCTGCTGGGCCCAGTAAACGTTGTCCCTTGGAGAGGTGACAAGGAGGGCCAGGGCAGGAGGGGATGGAGAGGGGAAGAGGTGGGGAGTCCTGGGGAGCAAGGCCGTGCTAGGAGGAATGCCCTGCCCGGCGTCAGATCCTCAACCAGCGTCCTGGCTACATTTGTGCCCCCTTCACAGTCTGTAACTATTTCTTTGTGGGTGATTTTGATCCCTGTCTCCACCTACCCATGATCTCTACAAGGGCAGAGACGGGGTCAGTCTTGATCCCTTTTGTGGCTCCACGCCTGACCAGGATGACAGCTCATGTTTGTTGAGCAACTAAGTGACTGTGTGTGTGTGTCTGTGTGTGTCCCTCCCTGACACCCCTCTCCACCTCTTTCCCAGTCTGTCCCCTCCCCGGGGTGGGCAGCCCCAGCCTGGGCCCTCACAAGCGAGGGCAGGACCGCGGCCCCACTCTGGAAAGTGATTAGCGGCCCCGCCCTCCGCCGAAGACAGCTAGGGTAGATTTCACACAGCCAGGAGGAGCTCCAGGAACTCCCTCCCTGAGAACCACACCCTTCATCCCTGAGACTGGCTCTGCCCCGCTCCGTGCCTCCTGCCAGGATTCCTGCGAGGGGAGCAAGCGGAGGGGGCTGCCGCCAGAGGGCGGGCCCAGCTGTCCTTGATTTGTGTGGGGTTTTTCCACTTCAGATGCCTGATTTGCCCGAGCTCATAAAGGATGTGGTTCCCTCCCAGGGAGGGGCCCCTCAGAGAGGCCAGTCCCCCATCCTACCCTCCCCGAGGGCCCGCTGTTCCCAGTTCACCCTGGTGGGGACCGAGGCGGGGCAGGAGCCCCTTGCTAGGATGGGGCAACGGTAACAGCAAAGGCTGTAGGGACCTTCAAGGCTGATTCAAGGCCAGCACTGTGGCCGGGCGTGGTGGCTCACGCTTGTAATTCCAGCACTTTGGGAAGCTGAGGTAGAAGGATTACTTGAGCCCAGGAGTTTGACACCTGCTTGGGCAACATAGGGAGATCTCATCTCTAAAGAAAAAAAACTATTTTAATTGGCCAGGCATGGTGGTGCACACCCGCGGTCCCAGCTACTCAGGAGGCTGAGGTGGGAGGAACTCTTGAGCCCAGGAGGTCAAGGCTGCAGTGAACTATAATTGCACCACTGCACTCCAGCTTGGGCCACAGAGCAAGACCCAATCTCAAAAAAAACCAGCCAGCTCTGCCCCCTCCTAGCGGGTGACCTTAGCAGGAGTCCAGGCCTGTGATCCTCACTTCCCTACTGTATTAAACAAAGTTGACACTCACCCCCACCTCCCTTTGTACCCAGCTCCTAAGTGCTTGGTGAATGTTCTTTACGACAAGGACCCAGAGAACGTGCGGCAGGGGCCACAGAAGGGGTGCTCGGAGGCTGCTCCCGCGCTGGGGAAACTGAGGACCTATCTCATAATTCCGTCTTCCCTGCAGACAAGGCTGGAGCACAAAGGCATCACTGGCCTCACGGTGGCAAGCAAGCCTGGCTTGCCGAACCCTGGATCTTGTTCCTGGTGACCCAGGGACACTGTGACAGAGAAGGGTTGTGGGGCTTCCCAGGATTTGCCAAGGCAGACCAGATTCCCAGCATCGGGAAGGACGCTTCCCCACTGTCTTCAGTCCCCTGCCTGCTGGGAGCCTGCCTGGGGTTGCAGGGTTTGCCAGAGGAGCCAGAATCCTCTCCTGCAGAGGGGTGGCCCCAGCCTGCTTCCAGCCACCCTCAATCCTCTCCCTTGGGTCTTCCTGGAGGAATCAGCACAGAGAGAAGGCGATTTGCTACTCTTTCCTGTTCCCTCCCCCAACCTCCATGAATAACTGGGCCCTGCAAACTGCCTCTTGCCCACCAGCCTGGCCAGTTCAATTTATAAAAATGTAGCAATCAGGCCGGGCACAGTGGCTCACACCTGTAATCCCAGTACTTTGGGAGGCTGAGGCGGGTGATCATCTGAGGTCGAGAGTTCAAGACCAACCTGGCCAACATGGCGAAACCCCGTCTCTACTAAAAATACAAAAATTAGCTGGGCACAGTGGCTCGTGCATGTAATCCCAGCCCCTTGGGAGGCTGAGGCAGGAGAATCGCTTGAACCTGGGAGGCAGAGGTTGCAATAAGCCAAGATTGCACCATTGCACTCCAGCCTGGGTGACAGAGCTAGACACTGTCTCCAAAAAAACAAAACAAAAAACAATGTAGCAATCCTTCTTCCAGGCTGGTAGTCCCATTTGTGCCTCTATCTCCAGGGTGGATCTGAACAGGACAAGAGGAGGGTCCCACAGAAACAGGGCTCTCCTTGCCCTCCCCCAGCCCCACCTCCTCCAGTTTCATAGCCCTAAGCCAGGCCTTTGGGCATGGAAGTCTCCCAGCCCTGTGGGGAGGGCAGAGCAGCGTTCAATCAACCCCAAGAGAGTCCTCTGTGGCCAGGTCTGTCCAGCCCTGTCGATGGTCTCCATGGACTGGAAGGCCACCAGGAGCATGTTCGTCAGGAGCAAGGGGACTGGACACAGGCCCAGGAGTCCCATGCGCTGCACAGGAGATGGGACTCTGTGTGCCTGTCTGTGGACCCTGGTGAGTGTACACATCTTCTGTGAGTGTGCACGTGGGCACAGGTGGAGGGGGGTTCAGAGGCCTGCAGCCAGGCCCCAGGCACCTTCACACAGTGTGGAAAGCCCCAAGTGACACCCCACACCACTTTTGGAGCCTGTAAGCCCCCTTCTGTTTTTTGTTTGTTTGTTTGTTTTTGAGAGGGAGTCTCGCTCTGTTGCCCAGGCTTGAGTGCAATGGCGCGATCTCGGCTCACTGCAACCTCCGCCTTCCAGGTTCAAGTGAATCTCCTGCCTCAGCCTCCCGAGTAGCTGGGATTACAGGCATGTGCCACCATGTCCAGCTAATTTTTTGTATTTTTAGTAGAGATGGGGTTTCACCATGTTGGCCAGGATGGTCTCGATCTCATGACCTCAGGTGATCCGTCTGCCTCGGCCTCCCAAAGTGCTGGGATTACAGGCACGAGCCACCGTGCGCGCCTGCCTGTAAGCCCCTTTTGAAGAGTTAGTCCCCCCTGGCCAGCAGACAGGATCCCCAGCAAGGGCACCTCCATTTGCCCTACTTCCGGGGGCAGCACCTCACCCCCGCAGTGGACCAGACAGGCATGTGGCCTGTCTTACTCGGTTCAACGCTCAGGAGGACTCAGAACCTGCAGTCAGGCCGAGAGCTCTAAATTCCTCTTCCCAACCCCCACCCCTGCCTCGCCCCTCTTAGGCTTCACAGCCTTCAAAGTCAACCCCTCCCCCTCCCCCCACCCCTCTGGCCGAGAGCCAGGACTCCATCCCTCATCTCCCAGGCTGGTCACTGCTGTCCTCTCTCTGACTCCAGTTGCCCTCCCTCGCCTTAGACCTGGATACACACCAGGGGCTCCCCGGCTTGGAGTTCTGGGGCCCAGCAAAGAATCATACTCCGAGAGAGACTTCGAGACCAAAAAGGCCATGGAGTTGAGGTGGAAGGGGAAGCCCAGGGCCAGCAGGCCTAGTCCATGGCTGGAAGCAGACCCCAGGGGTCCTGGCACCCAGCCCACCTGGTTCTGGCCACCCTCTCCTCCCCTCTCCTGCATTGCAGCCACCAAACCCTTCGAAGCCAAGAGTAGCTTATAAATGTCCTGGAGATGAAACTCGGTAAGACAGGAAGTCAGGGGCTGAACCATGAATAACCTCCAAGGTTTTACAAGGAGACAGGGAGTGGAGGGCCGTGAGGGGTTGGAAGTGGAGAAAGCTTATCCACAGGTAACCCTGAGCCCCTCCCCAGCCGCCTCCTGGCCCTCTGTCACTGAAGCCCCACCAACCTTCTTCCCAGGGCTTCTTACCCCAAGCTCTGTTAACCACAGCCTTAGTGCCCAGGCCCTGGAGAGGGTGATAGGTGGCTTGAGGACCCTGCATTCCCCAGACCGCCAACACATCCATGTAGATGTGGGGTACACATCTGGCACCCCTCCCAAGATTGTGCAACCCTGAAGGGGAGTACGGAGCAGGTGGTGTGAGTGGGTGAACATTTCTTCATCTGCTGCTGCCGTACGCAGCACCCCGAGGGCTCAGCATTTAAGAAACAGAATGAGGGCCAGACATGGTGGCTCACGCCTGTAATCCCAGCACTTTGGGAGACCGAACTACTGCGCCTGGCCCGAATCAACTAGGTTCTAAACCAGGTTATCACAGTACTGAAGGTGAGGAATGACTGAGCCTTGGGCTGGGGAGGTGGCATTGGTGATAGAGAAAAGGAGACACTTAAAATATATTTGGGGCTGAGTGTGGAGGCTCATGCCTGTAATCCCAGTACTTTGGGAGGCTGAGGCAGGCGGATCACCTAAGGTCAGGAGTTCAAGACCAGCCTGGTCAACATGGCGAACCCCATCTCTGATAAAAATACAAAAAAAAAAAAATTAGCTGGATGTAGTGGTGCATGCCTGTAGTCCCAGCTACTCGAGATGCTGAGGCAGAAGAATCACTTGAACCCGGGGGAGGCACAGGTTGCAGTGAGCCGAGATTGTGCCACTGTACTCCAGCCTGGGCAAAAGAGCAAGACTCCATCTCAAAAAAAAAAAAAAAAAAAAAAGACTGGGCATGGTGGCTCACGCCTGTAATCCCAGCACTTTGGGAGGCCAAGGCAGGCAGATCACGAGGTCAAGAGACCAAGACCATCCTGGCGAACATGGTGAAACCCCCTCTCTACTAAAAATACAAAAATTAGCCGGCGTGATGGCGCGCGCCTGTAATCCCAGCTACTCAGGAGGCTGAGGCAGGAGAATCGCTTGAATCTGGGAGGCGGAGGTTGCAGTGAGCCGAGATTGTGCCACTGCACTCCAGCCTGGGCGACAGAGCAAGACTCCATCTCAAAAAAAAAAAGAGAGAGAGAGAATGAGATGAAGGTGCTGTGGTTGATGGCTTTGAGGAGCTCCTTGACCTAGGATGGGTGAGGCCTGCAAGAGGGTAACAGGGGCCCAGTCTGCATGCACAGAGGAGGCCCACCCAGGCCCCTGCTGTGGGGGAAGGAGAGGACCACTGGGGCAGAGCCCCCAAGAAAAGCTTCTAGAAGGGTTGTGATGCGTGTGGAAGGACAAAACAGAAGAAGGAAAAACAAACTCTAGGAATGCAAGGATGTGTTTCTAGAGTGGGGTCTGGTTTGCCTGGAGGTGCAGGTGAAAGGGTTTGGGTTCAGGTGATGCGGGCAGTAACAACAACATAATTGACTGGGCTGAGGAGCTCACACCTATAATCCCAGCATTCTGGGAAGCCGAGGTGGGGGATCCCTTGAGCCCAGGAATTCAAGATCAGCCTGGGCAACAAAGCCAGAGCACGTCTCTACAAAAAGTTTTTTTAAAAAATTAGCCAGGCACAGTGGCTCATGCCTGTAATCCCAGCACTTTGGGAGACCAAAGCGGGAGTGTCACTTGAGCCCAGGCGTTCCAGACTAGCCTGGACAACATGGCAAAACCCTGTCTCTACTAAAAATACAAAAATTAGCGGGGCGTAGTAGCACACCTGTAGTCCTAGCTATTCGGGAGGTTGACCTGGGAGGATCGCTTGAGTCCAGGAATTCAAGGCTGCAGTGATCCATGGTCATGCCACTGCACTCCAGCCCAGGCAACAGAGAAACCCCCTTCTCAAGAAGAAACAACCAGGCCCGGCGCGGTAGCTCATGCCTGTAATCCCAGCACTTTGGGAGGCCCTGCTGGGCGGATCATGAGGTCAGGAGATCGAGACCATCCTGGCTAACACAGTGAAACCCCGGCTCTACCAAAAATACAAAAAAATTAGCCGGGCGCAGTGGTGGGCGCCTGTAGTCCCAGCTACTCGGGAGGCTGAGGCACGAGAATGGCGTGAACCCGGGAGGCGGAGCTTGCAGTGAGCCGAGATCGCGCCACTGCACTCCAGCCTGGGCGGCAGTGCCAGACTCCGTCTCAAAAAAAAAAAAAAAAAGAAACAACCCCAAACTGTAATTATGATAAACAACACCGATCTCATTTATGGAGTAGGAAATCAAGCTGGAGAGGTGGGGTCAGCCTAGGTCAGAGCAGGCAAGGACTGTGGGAACCTCTGAGGGAGGGACCTGGTCTGGTTATTATTTTGCAGAGAGGACTCTGGTTGGGGGAAGGCAGCCAGGAGCTGCCTGGGTTGTAGCGGGGAGAGGTGGGCGGAGGAAAGAGGCCTGGGATGTGGAACCCTAGGATCTAGCCCTGAGGGCGGGCCAGGTCCGGGCAGCCTGGGTCCCACGCAGCTGCCCTGAAGAAGGGGCTGGGGGCGTCCTGCCTCCACCCGCGCCCCCAACCACGCCTGCCGTTCCCACCGGCCGCGCCACCCCCGCCCCCGCCCCTGGCTCTGTCCTCCGGTGACCCTGGAAGGGGCACCCGTGGCTGCGACTGCACTCCCTGTAGCGGTCACTTCGTGAAGCCCGGCAAACCCCCTGCAGCTGCCCCTGGCACCCTCAGACGACCAGAGGCCTCGGCCTGGGTCCCCAGCACCGGCCCAAGGGCGGGCGTGGCCGAGGCGGTTTCTCTGCGCGGACGCTCGCTGCCTCCGCCGCAACCCCCGCGGCCACCCGGGGAACTGCAGCGCCGTCAGGCCCCCCGCCGCGCCTGCGCACGCAGACCACCCGGCCTGGCAGCACCGAGCGAGCGTGCCCCCTGCTGGTCAGTCCTGCGCACGGTCCCGCGCCCGGGCCCGGGAGGCCGCCTCGAGGGCCGGGGCTTGCACGTGGCCTCGGCGCCTTCGCCGACCCTACCGGACGCCCCCTCCTCCCACCTGCCGACCCGTCCGCGGGTAGGAGCCTCCCGGGAGCTGCCCACGGCCCCCACCCCCACCAGGGGCCACAGCCCCACCAGGGCCAGGCTCTGCGCGGCACCTGCCACTGAGAGAGCGGAAAGCGGTGGTTGAGCAAGGGTCTGAAGTATGGTCTGTTCCCCCATACGGGCCGCAGACGCTTCCTGGTGGCTGCTCTGAGCCAGGCCTGGGCCCCGGCGAGGGATCACGGTGTCTCAGACAGAGTTCCTTTTTATTCCCCATCCCTCGCCCGAGGTGACGGCCCAGCCGTGCCCAGGCCTGCCCGCTGCCCCTGAACCCAACCCTTGAGGGGCAAGGCCGTGCCCTGGGGAGGAAGGGGCTGCCCCCTCAGAGTCTGCTGTTCCTCAAGGAAGACGCGGGGGCAGCCGCAAGGATGGGGTATCACCCAGCAGGAGCGGGAGGGTAAGGTGACTGATTCCACACCAGACGCTCCATTGCTGGAAACACCACCCCCTCCTCCGGTGACCTGGCATACAGACCTTGCCCACAGCCATCCCTCCCTGGACTCTCAATGTGAGGGGGCCTTGGGGTCCTGCGGTTCACCCGTCTCCCCACTCAAGCAGTCTGCTTGCCGGCACCCCCCCCACCTCCTGAGCCCACTTGCCCCCTCCCACCCCCACCTCCCTACCACATCTTTTTTTTTTTTTTTTTCCTGAGACGGAGATTTGCTCTTGTTGCCCAGGCTGGAGTACAATGGTGTCATCTCGGCTCACCACAACCTCCCTGAGCCTCAGCCTCCCAGGCTGAGCCTGAGCCTCCCAGGTTCAAGCGATTCTCCTGCCTCAGCCTCCCGAGTAGCTGGTGTAGGGAAAAGAAAGAGAGATCAGACTGTTACTGTGTCTATGTAGAAAGGGAAGACATAAGAGACTCCATTTGAAAAAGACCTGTACTTTAAATAATTGCTTTGCTGAGATGTTGTTAATTTGTAGCTTTGCCCCAGCCACTTTGACCCAACCACTTTGATCCAATCTGGAGCTCACAAAAACATGTGCTGTATGAAATCAAGGTTTAAGGGATGTAGGGCTGTGCAGGACGTGCCTTGTTAACAAAATGCTTACAAGCAGTATACTTGGTAAAAGTCATTGCCATTCTCCAGTCTCAATAAACCAGGGGCACAATGCACTGTGGAAAGCTGCAGGGACCTCTGCCCTTGAAAGCAGGGTATTGTCCAAGGTTTCTCCCCATGTGATAGTCTGAAATATGGCCTCGTGGTATGAGAAAGACCTGACCGTCCCCGAGCCCGACACCTGTAAAGGGTCTGTGCTGAGGTGGATTAGTCAAAGAGGAAAGCCTCTTGTAGTTGAGATAGAGGAAGGCCACTGTCTCCTGCCTGCCCCTGGGAACTGAATGTCTCGGTATAAAACCCAATTGTACATTTGTTCAGTTCTGAGATAGGAGAAAAACCACCCTATGGTGGGAGGTGAGACATGTTTGCAGTAATGCTGCCTTGTTATTCTTTACTCTGCTGAGATGTTTGGGTGGAGAGAAACATAAATCTGGCCTACGTGCACATCCAGGCATAGTACCTTCCCTTGAACTTAATTATGATATAGATTCTTTTGTTCACATGTTTTTTGCTGACCTTCTCCTTATGATCATCCTGCTCTCCTACTACATTCCTTTTTACTGAAATAACGAAAATAATAATCAATAAAAACTGAGGGAACTCAGAGACCGGTGCCAGTGCAGGTCCTTAGTATGCTGAGCGCCGGTCCCCTGGGCCCACTGTTGTTTCTCTATACTTTGTCTCTGTGTCTTATTTCTTTTCTCAGTCTCTCGTCCCACCCGACTGGAAATACCCACAGGTGTGGAGGGGCAGTCCTCCCCTTCAGCTGGGATTACAGGCATGGGTCACCACGCCCGGGTAATCCGGGTAATTCTGTATTTTAGTAGAGATGGGGTTTCTCCATGTTGGTCAGGCTGGTCTAGAACTCATAACCTCAGGTGATCCACCTGCCTCGGCCTCCCAAAGTGCTGGGATTACAGGCGTGAGCCACTGTGTCCGGCCCACCACCTTAACATGGATGTTTGGATGAGCCTGGGGCCCTGGGATGCAGGCAGGAGGCACTACTCCCCAGCCCCCACCAGGATCACCACCCCTGCACTGCTGTGGCTGAGATCCCCAGGCGCCAGCAGGCCTCCAGCCACCCAGCTACCGGCCTGAGCCTGGTAGACAGCCCTGGGGACAAAACCCTGCACACAGGGGCCCAGTTTGCAGGCGAAGGCCAGTCTGCTCTTGGGCCTGAGTCCACTCTCGGGGAAACACTGGCCCCAGGTGCAGAGCTGGGAGTGCTGGGAGAAGGCAGCACAGCCCAGGCCCCTGCCTGGCCCTGTGCCTGGGAAGCCTGCTGCCCATTCAGCAGCTCCCTCCCTGCCGCAGCAGAGCCGCCTTCCACAGGACCTGCCCACAGAGCCCTTCCCAGAGCCACTGCTCCTCCTGCAGGGAGAAGCAGAAAGGGACAGGTGTGGGCATAGAGGACCTGAACTGGCTGCCTAGAACAGTATTGGGAGCCCTGTGCACCCCCTGCCAGACCCGCCATCACCAAATGACTCAGCATGGCAGGACAAGGACCCTGATCAGAGGCCACTGGCAGCCGGCCACATGTGGCCTGGAGTGGCTCAGGTCCCTGGCGGCAGAGGACACAGGGCTTCTCCCAGCTGTGTGGCCTCAGACTAATCGCGTTCTCTGAGTCCCCCTTGTCTCCCCAGAAGAATGAGGCTAAGGAGAGTACCTGCTGCACTGGGGTCAGTCGCTGCAGCGGGCCTGCTCTCACCTGCTGGACTAGGGGGTGGGCAGGCCACAGGCTGGGCTAGGACAGTGCCCGAGAGCCAACGAAGACACTGGGTGGCCAGGGCAGCCCCAGAGCGGGCTCCACTTTAGCTGGTGGCCAGCGTCGGACACACTGGGGTCCAGGTGTAAAAAAATCAGGGCATGGGTGGGAGCTGGAATCAGGGGTTGAGAGACACCCCCCTGCTCTCCGCAGCTCCAGGGAGATTCTGGCAGCTAGCCTCAGTTCTGGCCCCCAGCAGGGCAGAGATGGAGACATTTGCTAGAACAGGAGGCTGCCACAGCACATGCTGGGGGAGGGGCAAGCAGCAGGAAGCCCCTTCTGGGTACGGTCCTCCCCGAAGGGCCCTTGGTGCTTTCATCAACACTGACTCTTCCCAGCACCCGCCCCACGCGCCCCTACCTCTAGACGGAGAGCCCACTGGCCAGCAGCGCCAGGAGTCAGGCCTCTGACCCACAGGGCAGTGCACACAGCACCCATTCAACTGTAGCATCCCCTGCCCGCCCCGGGTGGCTCTCCTGTGCCCTCATCCAACCGGAAGACAGGCTGGGTGCCACTAAGGGAGGCACAAAGAGAGGAAAGTCGAATGTCCCGCCCAAGATCAGGGTCACGCAAGCAGTCCGAGGCCAGCAAGGGAGACAGCGGCCTCTGCCACGGCACTGACTCCACGTCAGAGCAGGGACTGCTAGACCGGGCTGCGGAGGGGCTGGCAGGTGACAGAGTCAGCTCCGTGAGGGGTGAGCAGGCTGAAGGGGCTGGCAGCACGGCTGGCCTCTCCCCGGTCTCCACTGTGGCCTGTACTGCAGGCACTGCCCCTCCTGTGGGGGGACGCTGCCTTCCATTGAGGGTGCCTCTTCCAATTGTACACCCGGAACCGGGGATGACCACGGGACAGGTCCACTGGGATCGGACCCGAGCCAACGCTCCCTCAGTCACTGGGCCTTCATAAGCCCCTACTCTGACCCAGTGACGTCTGACTCCAGAGTTAGCATCGGTTCAGAGCCAGCATCCAGGAGTCCCCAGAAGGTCTCATGATC
>NW_003315946.1:0-89672 GCF_000001405.40 Homo sapiens
GAATTCTCATTAGTAAGTGTAGTAGGCATGAGATAAATAGAAAATCATCATTAAAACACTATAGTAATCATTGTTGCAGGCAAGATCCAATGATTTATGCTAAAATTACTGGGCAAAAGTTTAAAGAATAACTGTGTGTTTGCATAATCTCACCATATTTTCCAAGATACTTATTAATTACAAAGGAAACAGTGGCTCACGCCTGTAATCCCAGTACTTTGGGAGGCCAAGGCAAGCGGATCATGAGGTCAGGAGTTCGAGACCAGCCTGGCCAACATGGTGAAACCCCGTCTCTACTAACGATACAAAAAATCAGCCGGGCGTGGTGGCGCGAGCCTGTAATTCCAGCTACTAGGGAGGCTGAGGCAGGAGAATCGCTTGAACCTGGGAGGCAGAGGTTGCAGTGAGCCAAGATCGCACCACTGCACTCCAGCCTGGGCAACAGGGCAAGACTCCGTCTCAAAAAAAAAAAAAAAAAAATTGCAAAGGAAAAATAGTAACTTTATGTGGAGAAACATGACAGTAATCAAGGTTTATATGACTAGATTAAGAAATATTGAAGTCATATCCCACCCCTGCCCAATATGATACACTGAGAATGATACATCACTTCTCTGGTTTCCTTCCCAAGAATGAGTAACCTCCATATATTCATGATGAAATAAGACAAACCCAATTGAGGGACATTCTACAAAACCACTGACCAGTATTCTTCTAAAGTGTCAAGGTCATAAAAGAAAAGACAAGACTGAAGAACTGTCGGCCGGGTGTGGTGGCTCACGCCTGTAATCCCAACACTTCGGGAGGCTGAGGCGGGTGGATCACGAGGTCAGGAGATCAAGACCATCCTGGCTAACACAGTGAAACCCCGTCTCTACAAACAAAATACAAAAAACTAGTCGGGCATGGTGGCGGGCACCTGTAGTCCCAGCTACTTGGGAGGCTGAGGCAGGAGAATGGCATGAATCCAGAAGGCGGAGCTTGCAGTGAGCCGAGATTGGGCCACTGCACTCCAGCCTGGATGACAGAGCGAGACTCCGTCTCAAAAAAAAAACAAAACTGTCACAGATTGGAGGAAACAAAGGAAACATGACAACGAAGTGTAATGTGGGATCCTGGAACAGAAAAAGGACATTACTGGAAAAATGGGTGAAAACCATAAAGAGACTGTAGTTTAATAATATCATACTAATGTTGGCTGGGTGTGGTGGCTCATGCCTGAAATCCCAGCGCTTTGAGAGGCTGAGGTAGGTGCATTACCTGAAGTCAGGAATTGGAAACCAGCCTGGCCAACATGGCGAAACCTTGACTCCACTAAAAATACAAAAATTAGCCAGGCGTGGTGGCTGGGGCGCCTGTAATCTCAGCTACTTGGGAGGCTGAGGCAGGAGAATCGCTTGAACCCAGGAGGCAGAGGTTGCAGTGAGCCAAGATCACACGACTGCACTCCAGCCTGGGCAACAAGAGCAAAACTCTGTATCAAAAAAAAAAAAAAAAAATTCTTAGTTTTGATAATGGTTATGCAAGATGTTAACATTCGGGGAAACTGGAAACTCTGTATTATTTCTATAACTTTTAAGTCTAAAAGCAAAAGAATTGTAAGTAATAAGAACAAAACGGCTGGGCGCAGTGGCTCACAAGTACTTCAGGAGGCCGAGGCAGGTGGATCACCTGAGGTTAGGAGTTTGAGACCAGCCTGGCCACTGTGGTGAAACCTCATCTCTACTAAAAATAAAAAAAAATTAGCTGGGCATGGTGGCATGTGCCAGTAATCCCAGCTACTCGGGAGGCTGAGGCAGGAGAATTGCTTGAACCTGGGAGGCAGAGGTTGCAGTGAGCCAAGTTCGCACCACTGCACTCCAGCCTGGGCAACAAGAGCAAAAACTCCCATCTCAGAAAAAAAGAAAAGAAAATAACAAATCACAGAAAATCTGGAAAAGAGATAAAATAGTCATCTTTATTACTAATAAAACGTATCTTTCCTTCTAGTCTTTTTGTCTATGTATTTTGTGTCTAGGCATTTTAATAGCTATAATCATACATAGAATTTTTATCTTGCTTTTTAACACATCTTATAAAATCTTTTTTTTTTTTTTTTGAGATGAAGTCTCACTCTGTGGCCTGGGCTGGAGTGCAGTGGCATGATCTCAGCTTACTGCAACCTCCACCTCCCAGGTTCAAGTGATTCTCCTACCTCTGCTTCCCAAGTAGCTGGGATTACAGGCACACACCACCACGCCCAACCAATTTTTGTATTTTTAGTAGAGACGGGGTTTCACCATGTTGGCCAGGCTGATGTCGAATGCCTGACCTCAGATGATCTACCCACCTTGGCCTCCCTAAGTGATGGAATTCCAGGCATGAGTCACCGCACCAGGCTGGTAGCCTTTTAAATATTACTTGATTGTGCTTTGTAAAAGCTATACTTATCATTTAAAAGACAAATATTAAAAAATTTACAGTTGATATTTTTTATGTTGTACGTCAAGGAAAAGCAGAAATAATAGAAAATAACTATTGCAAGGAACTTGCGGTATGAGATAATTAATTTAAAACGATGCCATAAATAATTGTGATTTAAAAACCAGTTTGCTTTTCTGGACTATCTAGGAAAAGATCTTTTGGAAGTTTTAAAACAATGTTGTTCATGGCAAATAATACCTAAACATTTGAGTTTAAATGTCAAGTATGCAGTGTCAACAAAGACTCAAGCTTTGTGCTATTTTGCAACCAGAGGCTTCAGTAGGTTTTGTTTTGCTTTGCTTTGTATCTATCAGCTCATACCTGAGTTCCATGAGTCTTCTAATAGAGACAGGTATTATAGGTATTAACCAAGATCTGAATTCAAGCCCTTGATACACCACTTATTTGCAAAGAGAATTGTTCTACACTGACATAACAAATTTCCTTTTTTTGAGAGAGAGTCTTATTCTGTCATCCAGGCTGGAGTACAGTGGCATTATCTGGGCTCACTGCAACCACCACCTCATTGGTTCAAGCAATTCTCGTGTCTCAGCCTCCCGAGGAGCTGGGATTACAGGCGTGCGCCACCATGCTTGGCTAATTTTTGTATTTTTAGGAGAGAGGGGGTTTTGCCATGTTGATCAAGTTGGTCTCAAACTCCTGACTTCAAGTGATCTGCCCACGTCAGCCTCCCAAACTGCTGGAATTACAGGTGTAAGCCACCACGCCCTGTCTGACATAATGAATTTCTTATACAGAAGTTTCAAGATTTTTGGTAGAAAATTTCCAGACATTCTATTAGTTTCTTATAAGTAAAACAGAGAAAACAGTACCTATAAAACTCAGGAATGAGATAAAAATTTCAGAGAATTTTTCAAAAGAAACACATCATCCATCACTAGAAAATCATGTATCAAGCATTTATTACATTGTAGAAGCAATGTGTTAGGTGTTCAGGAATTTAGGTTTAGAAGGAAGTGGGACATGTAAACACTAAATGCAATGGAGTATGTAAGTGTGAACTATCAGTATTTGTTACTACAAAGTTTACTTTTAGTTTTGAATGTTTTAAACCTTTGTATTCATTTTTTTTAAAACATGAAATGGCCACAATAAGCGTTACTATATTGTATTTGTAAACGTTCTTCAAATCTGACTTTCTTACCAGAATCAAAAGGCTACATACTGTGTGAGTCCACATATATGACAATCTGGAAAAGGCAAAACAATAAAGGCAGAAAACAAAGTAGTGGTTGCTAGAGACTGGCTCTTGTTGGAGAAAAGGACTAACTACAAGTGAGGAACAGGGGAACTTTTGGGGGTGATAGAAATATTATGTATCTTAATTGTGGTGACAGTTATAGACCGTATATACCCATCAAAACACATAGAACTGGGCCAGGCACAGTGGTTTATTCCTGTAATCCTAGGGCTTTGGAAGGCTGAGGCAAGTGGATCGCTTGAGGCCAAGAGTTTGAGACTAGCCTGGGCAATATAGGGAGACCTTGTCTCTAAAAAAAATTTTTTTTAATTAGCCAAGCATGTGGTGGCATGCATCTTTAGTCCCAGCTACTAGGAAGGCTGAGGCAGAAGGATTGCTTGAGCCCAGGAGTTCAAGGCTGCAATGACCTATGATTGTGCCACCGCACTCCAGCTTGGGTGACAGAGTAAGACCCTGTCTCAAAAAAAAAAACAAAACATGGAACTGTACGCCTAAAGAGTGGATGTTACTGTATGTAAATTATATCTCAATAAATCTGACTTTCTTGGCCAGGCGCAGTGGCTCACGCCTGTAATCCCAGCACTTTGGGAGGCTGAGGCGGGAGGATCAGAGGTCAGGAGATCGAGACCATCCTGGCTAACATGATGAAACCCCGTCTCTACTAAAAATACAAAAAATTAGCCGGGTGTGGTGGCGGGCGCCTGTAGTCCCAGCTACTCGGGAGGCTGAGGCAGGAGAATGGCGTGAATCTGGGAGATGGAGCTTGCAGTGAGCCGAGATCATGCCACTGCACTCCAGCCTGGGCAACGAGTAAGACTCTGTCTCAAAAAAAAAAAAAAAAAAAAAAAAAATCTGACTTTCTTGCATTGGAACATACATTTTCTAAATACTTACATAAAACCATCAAGAGGCTTAAGTAAGTTATGGGTACCTTCGCTTAAAAATGCAAAACCTGGAGTTGGGCACAGTGGCTCATGCCTGTAATTCCAGCACTTTGGGAGGCCAAGGCAGGCAGATCATGAGGTCAGGAGATCAAGACCATCCTGGCCAACATGGTGAAACCCCCGTTTCTACCAAAAATACAAAAATTAGCTGGGCGTGGTGGCACGTGCCTATAATCCCAGTTACTCGAGAGGCTGAGGCAGGAGAATTGCTTAAACCAGGGAGTCGGAGGTTGCAGTGAGCCAAGATCGCGCCACTGCACTCCAGCTTGGTAACACAGTGAGACTCCATCTCCAAAAACAAAACAAAACAAAACAAAACAAAACAAAACAAAACAAAACAAAATAAAATAAAATCTGGTTTCTATGACTATTGCGTACAAACTATTAAATAATTGAAGAAATTTACAACCAAATGAGACGGACTTTTTAAATATACTAGAATCATATTCACTGCCTCAGAGAACTGAGTTATTTTCTTTCCCCCTCTTGCACTATTACTGACTCATAGCATGGACTTGAGCAAATTATTTAGTCTCTAGGCTTGTATTCTAATCATATGTGTAGTAATGACTATTAACTGCCATTACATGCACTTAAGATTCTCAGCTAAACATAAATCATCACATTCTGCAATACTATTTGTTCTGCCTTTGGAGGGACTGCCTCATATTCCAGAGATATATTAGAATGTTCTTTGAGTTGACATCTCCAGTGATCCAGCCATTAAATTAACATCTCCCTATTCCCCAGCTCTTCCATGATGGCCCTTGATGGTCCTGATCTAATTTTCCTTAGGTTATTTAATCTTTCCTAATATCAATCAACTGTAGTTCCATGGTTCATAATATGGTATTTATGGCTAAACAATGAAAAGTTCCTGAACCAGACCTGATGTCTTACAGGTACTGCAAACTTAACAAGTATGTATTAGACACTTGGATGGCTAATCCAATACCCACTCCCAATCCTCCTCTCTCTCCTATCTATCTTCACCATAAAGTTAAATACTCACTTCTCCAATGCCCCTTGCAGTTACTGGTAACCATTCCACTAGTTATGGCCAACAAGATGTAAGCTAAAATCTGTAAGGGGCATCTGGGAAAGCTTTTCTTGATAAAGAGGACAGACCCAACCAGTATCTTTCCCTTTCCCCTTCTTCCTGCTTTGAATTTATGCCTCAAGGCAGCTTTGGATAAGATGTCTGGAGTTGCAATCATGAGATAAACAACCTTATTATGAATAACAGAACAAACATGATTATCATAGAGTGCTGCATCAGTCCTAAAAGAGTCTACCTTCAGACCTCTTATGATTTGAGATTTTAAAAAATTGTTTGTAACAGGCCAGGCACAGTGACTCATGCCTGTAATCCCAGCACTTTGGGAGGCCGAGGCAGGTGGATCACGAGGTCAGGAGATCAAGACCATCCTGGCTAACACAGTGAAACCCCGTCTCTACTAAAAATACAAAACATTAGCCGGGTGTGGTGGCAGGCGCCTGTAATCCCAGCTACTCGTGAGGCTGAGGCAGGAGAATGGCGTGAACCTGGGAGGCAGAGCTTGCAGTGAGCCGAGATCGTGCCACTGCACTCCAGCCTGGGCAACAAAGTGATACTCCATCTCAAGAAAAAAAAAAAAAGAAGAAGAAGAAAAGAAAATGGAACCATCAATGCTTTGAAAACATCAAAGAATACTGTCATTTTAGAACTATCTACATTTAATTCCAAAATTCCATGACAAATATTCTTGTCAAGTAATATTAAGTTAATACTATAGAGCAGCTTTGGATATGTGGAAGTTTGCCCTTGCAACTGACAGCCAATATGTGTTAATATTAGCTTCCTATAATCAGTAAGCATGCTTATCCTGTGATTATATTTATCTTTATGCATGCTAAATCCTCCTCTCTCTCCTGGAGATTATTCTAGGAAAGAAGAAAGATTCACCACTATAATACATATACATGAATTATAGAGCTATACCCAAATATAGCCTAGTTAAATTACCATACTTAGAGAAGATTAATGAAATAACTATTAACTCCAAGTGTATTGTGTTTACCACCTGCCACCACACACACAAAGTGTCCTGTGCACAAAGACAATAGATAACAGAATTTCAGAGCTACAGGAGACCTCAGTAATAATTCAGTCCAACATGTTCATTTTTACCTAAAAAAAATTTTTTTTCAGGCAGCTCTCTCAACCAGGATAAGTTGAGAGACTCCTACAACATGCTTATTTATAAAGATATTTAAACTGAAACCTAAGAAATCTGAGGCCTAAAGAAATCAGAAAACTTCTTCTAAGTCACAGCCAGCCTACGGCAAAGCCATGGCTAAAAACCCTTGTCATCTGCTCCTGAATTTATCTCCAATCTTCCATTTGTTTTTTTAAGATAGCATAAAATCATAAAGCACTATTTGTATAGATTACTCAGCAGCCAGTACAAATGAGTCAGAACTCAAGCTTGCTCACTGGGTCTTTATAGTTAAAAACTGAAGTAGTCAGCTTTTATCTAAGATTAACACAAAAGTCTCACCAGTTATGAGAGTAAGTGAGCATTTTAAAATTTTTAATTTTATTTTTTTGAGACAGGGTCTTGCTCTATTATCCAGGCTGGAGTGCAGTGGCTCAATCACAGTCACTACAGCCTCAATGTCCTGGGTTCAAGCAATCCTTCCACCTCAGCCTCCCAAGTACCTGGGATTACAGGTGCATGCCACAATGTTCGGCTAATTTTTGTATTTTTTGTAGAGACAGGGTTTCACCATGTTGCCCAGGCTGGTCACGAACTCCTGGGCTCAAGTAATCTGCCCACCTCGGCCTCCCCAGTGAGTGAGCATTTTAATTCATGTTTTAAAAATGGGAAAAAAGGAAAAAGAAAGGCCAAACATATGCCTTGGCTAATAATCTAACAGAAGGCTACATTTTATTACTTTACCGTTAACGTACTGTAAAGATTCAGGCCACAGTCTTTTCACTCAGAAATAACTCACTTTTTCTATGTCAGATATCCAGACTTTAAAAAAAAAATGATCAGGGATCAATATTTAAGTCAGTAGGCTTCCCACTCCAGAAGCAAATGGTCGTTTTTGAGCCATTGGAAGTACTAAGGAGCCTGGACAGTCATAGCCACACTCTCCTTCCCACTCATGGGCTTTGCAGCAATGACAGGGGAAGAGCATGGTTAGAAAAGTGGCACAGCAACCCCAGCCAAACTAAAAGTAGATAAATGGCACCAGAGAAGAATACTATTTTTCAAAAGAAGGTTATTACTTTTTAGAAGAGATTGTGCTTCCCATATGTCCATCCCTTCAGAGCTTACATCCATGTAAGTGGTTTAATTCCATTACTTCTATTTTTTTTTGGGGGGGGGGCAGGGTCTCACTCTGTCACCCATGGGGCTGGAGTACAATGGTGCAATCACAGCTCAATGCAGCTGTGACTTCCCATGTATAAGCGATCTTCCCATCTCAGCCTCCTGAGTAGCTGAAACTATAGGTGCACACCATGCTCAGCTAATTTTTTTTTTTTTTTAATTGTAGAGGTGGGATTTCATCACGTTGCCCAGACTGGTCTTGAACTCCTGATCTCATGCAATCCTCCCACCGTGGCCTCCCAAAGTACTGGGATTATAGGCGTGAGCCACCATGCCCAGCCTGATTTCAATTTCTTTATATATAAAATCATAATACCTATCCTTAGGGAATTATTATGAAGATTAAGTGAATTAACTTGTGAAAAATAATTTTAAAAATTGTGAAAGCCATACAAATTTCAGGTATTACCATTATTACCTAATTCAGCAGAACTTGACATTTTCATGGATTTCAGAAATTGACAGAGTACATGGTAAAGAGCAGGAGCTCAGTAAGTGTTTACTGAATGAATTAACAAAATAATTAGAACCTCCTTCCAAGAAGTATTATCTTATATACATAATGGGCTGGGTGCAGTGGCTCCTGTCTGTTAATCCCTGTATTTTGTGAGGCCGAGGACAGAGGACGGCTTGAGCCCAGAAGTTCAGGACCAGCCTGGGTAACATGGTAAGACCTCCCCACCCTCATCTCTACAAATTTTTTTCTTTTTAATTAGCCAGGCACAGTGGTGCATACCGGTGGTCCTAGCTACTCAGGAGGCTGAGGTGCAAGGATCACTTGAGCCTGAGAGTTTGAGGCTGCAGTGAGCTGTGATCACGCCACTGCACTCCAGCCTGGGTGACAGATCAGGACCCTGTATCAAAAACAAAAGAAAAACCTCTGAGCCTTTCTGTATCTGATCTATGCATGCAATAGAACTGCTGTGAGGGTTAATGAGATAAAGCGCATAAAGCAAGCCAGGACTCTAAAGAAACATGTTCCTCTCAGCACCTTCTTAAATATATGAACCTGTCACACTAACATCATAAAGGCCAGAAAAAAGCTGAAAATTCAAGTTATAATAGCTTTGGTACCGCACACACATCCACAAATCTTTAAAACGCCCCAGTGCTCTAATTTAATAATTAAGTTTTTAGTTTCTGTTGGTGGAAATCCTGGAAGCAGAAGAATGGTAAACAAACATTATCTCAGTAACAATGCAAAGAAGTACCTGGAATGAGTAGGAGAACATACACGTATGAACCATAATGGCTTCTTTAATAGGAAACATCTCACTTTTCTTTTTTTATTTTTAGAGACAATCTTTGTCACTTAGGCTGAAATGCAGTGGCACAATCCTACAGCCTTGAATTCCTACAGCCTCAAATTCCTGGGCTCAAGGGATCCTCCCACCTCAGCCTCCCGTGTAGCTGGGACAACAGGCATGCATCACCACACCTGGCTAATTTTTTAATATTTTCATAGAGACAGGCTCTCACTGCATTACCCAGGATGGTAAGTAACCCTTACTTAAAGTTAAAATAGGCCGGGCACAGTGGCTCACGTCTGTAATCCCAACACTTTGGGAGGGAGTGGGTGGATCGTCTGAGGTGAGTGGATCATCTGTGGTCAGGAGTTCGGGAACAGCCTGGCCAACATGGTGAAACCCCATCTCTACTGAAAATACAGAATTAGTCAGGCATGGTGGCACATGCCTGTAATCCCAGCTACCTGGGAGGCTTAGGCAGGAGAATAGCTTAAGTCTAGGAGGTGGAGGTTGCAGTGAATCGAGACTGCACCACTGCACTCCAGCCTGGGTGACAGAACGAGACCATATGTCAAAATTAAATTAAATTAATATTAAGATAAAAAACAGGCCAGGCACGGTGGCTCACGTCTGTAATCCCAGCACTGTGGGAGGCTGAGATGGGTGGATCACCTGAGGTCAGGAGTTCCAGACCAGCCTGGCCAACATGGTGAAACCCCATCTCTACTAAATATACCAAAATTAGCCAGGCGTGGTGGCAGGCGCCTGTAATCCCAGCTACTCAGGAGGCTGAGGCAGGAGAATCACTTGAACCCGGGAGGTGGAGGTTGCAGTGAGCCAAGATCGTGCCACTGCAATCCAGCCTGGGCGACAGAGCGAGACTCTGCCTCAAACATACATACACACATATGTACATATAAAATATATGTTTATTAGAGTTGTATATATGTTGAAGCCACAACACACTACACAAAAACTCTAAAATAAGACCAGGTGCAGTGGGTCACACCTATAATCCTAGCACTTTGGGAGGCTGAGGTGGGCAGATCACTTGAGGTCAGGAGTTCAAAACCAGCCTGGCCAACATGGTGAAACTCTGTCTATATGGAAAAATACAAAATACAAAATACAAAAAAATTAGCCAGGCGTGGTGGTGCACACTTGTGATCCCAGCTACTTGGGAGGCTGAGGCAGGAGAATCACTTGAACCTGAGAGATGGAGGTTGCAGTGAGCCGAGATCACACCACTGCACTCCAGCCTGGGCAACAGAGCGAGACTGTCTCAAAAAAAATAAAAAAAAAAAAAATAAAAGGCTGGGCGTGGTGGCTCACGCCTGTAATCCCAGCACTTTGGGAGGCCGAGGCGGGTGGATCACGAGGTCAGGAGTTCAAGACCAGCCTGGCCAAGATGGTGAAACTCCATCTCTACTAAAAACTACAAAAAAATTAGCCGGGCATGGTGGCAGGTGCCTGTAGTCCCAGCTACTTGGAAGGCTGAAGCAGGAGAATCACTTGAACCTGGGAGCAGAGGTTGCAGTGAGTCGAGATCATGCCACCGCACTCTAGCCTGGGCAACAGAGTGAGAGTCTCAAAAAAAAAAAAAAAAAAAAAAGAACTCTAAAATGATAGTATTTATCAGCTGGGCACGGTGGCTCACACCTGTAATCCCAGTACTTTGGGATGCTAAGGCGGGTGGAACACAAGGTCAGGAGTTCCAGACCAGCCTGGCCAGCATGGTGAAACCCCATCTCTACTAAAAATACAAAAATTAGCCGGGCGTGGTGGCACGCGCCTGTACTCCCAGCTACTTGGGAGGCTGAGGCAGGAGAATCACTTGAACCCAGGAGGCAGAGGCTGCAGTGAGCCAAGATTATGCCACTGCTCTCCAGCCTCAGTGACAGAGTGAGACTCCATCTCAAAAAAAAAAATAAGAAGAATAACAGTATTTATCATAGTACAGACTATTAGAATGAAAAATTTTTTCAAAGTATATAAGAACATAAAGAAAAGTGGGTGTGAAATTCTCATAGTAGTGGACAATTATCAACCCACTGAGTAAGCATTTTCTGAAGAAACCTATCACAGGCAAAATACTGAGAATAAAACACATTCCATGTGTTTTATTCAAGAAGCCAATATATAACAGAGGACACACATGAAATCACCCCTTTTACTACCAATTTAACATGCAATATGTGCCAAAAAGAGGTAAGTGCTTTGCTTTAATGTGTATAATTAATGAAATGTGTATAATTTCATTTAATCTCACAATAACCTTATAAAATGGGCACGTTATTACTCCCATTTTACATATAAAGAAACTGAGGTCTTAATGATTAAAAAAAGACTTGCCACTGTCACTCTGCCATTAAATAGCAAAGATGGAAAGATCAAGCATGTAACCATTACTATACTCTACTAATGAATAAATAATTATGACTCAGTATATTAAGCACTATTATAGAAATACATACAAAATATACAAAGTAAAAAAATAACATAGGCTGGGCAAGGTGGCTCACGCCTGTAATCCCAGCACTTTGGGAGGCCGAGGCGGGCAGATCACCTGAGGTTGGGAGTTCAAAACCAGCCTGATCAACATGGAGAAATCCTATCTCTACAAAAATACAAAATTAGCCAGGTGTGGTAGTGCATGCCTGTAATCCCAGCTACTCAGGAGGCTGAGGCAGGAGAATCGCTTGAACCCAGGAGGCGGAGGTTGCGGTGAGCCAAGATCGTGCCATTGCACTCCAGCCAGGGCAACAAGAGTGAAACTCCGTCTCAAAAAGAAAAATAAAGGCTGGGCGCGGTGGCTCACGCCTGTAATCCCAGCACTTTGGGAGGCCGAGGTGGGTGGATCATGAAGTCAAGAGATCGAGACCATCCTGGCCAACATGGTGAAAACTTGTCTCTACTAAAAATACAAAAATCAGCTGGGCCTGGTGGTACACGCCGGTAGTCCCAGCTGCTTGGGAAGCTGAGGCAGGAGAATCGCTTGAACCCGGGAGGCAGAGGTTGCAGTGAGCTGAGATCACGCCACTGCAGTCCAGCCTGGTGACAGAGAGACTCTGTCTCAAAAATAAATAAATAAATAAATAAATAAATACAAACACAAAGGCATGCTCAACTTTGAAGTGGGGGTGGTAGGGTGGAGTCAGTCAGGAAAGGTTTCACATAGGACACCTTGATCATTAAAAGACAAGTAGAAGAGTCCCAGGCAGATAACCTAGAAATAAGCCTGCCTGGCTAGTGTTACAGCACAGAGGCAAAGACTTAGAGGCAAGGGGAAAAAGAAACATTCAGACAAATGAAAGTAGCTAGGAAAGGCTAGAGTGTAGGGTTCAAGGTGATAGATAATCAGGGAGTTACTGTTGAAAGGTTGTTGATAGTCAGTTAAGGGTTGTAAGATATCATGAAAGGTAGTCTTGGCTGTTAGGGATTATTCTTCCTTAAAGAGCTACCAAGATAAGTACACAAAGGAAAGAAGTACCCTAAAACCTATAAAAGACTTTTTCCTTAAAGCAGAGCTTAAGATCACCACCAAAATACAGACTGCAAACTTCAGAGGATAATGAATAAGGGTTTATTTTTGAAGAACTTAAAGAAAGGACACAACGTATATCTCACTCATGTATCAAACACATCACAACCCTGTGACCAGGACATTAGTATAAGGTGTTTGCTAAGGGAGTCCCACCCTCAGGTAATAACACATACTCTAGTAAAGGCATTTTCTGTGCATTCCAAAGACAGCTGCTCAGGTTATCCCAAATTTGGCCCTAGCTTTAATATATAAATCCACGTAAAACAAACAAACCAATTAACAACAGAAGGCACATAGGAAATATTTTTCACTTCCGCCTGTTTTTCTTTTCTTTCCCTTTTTTTTTTTTTTTTTCCCTTGAGATGGGGTCTCATTATGTTGCCCAAGCTGGACTCAAACCTCAAACTCCTGGGTTCAAATGATTCTCCCACCTCAGCCTCCTGAGCCAAGTAGCTGGGTCTACAGGTATATGCCACCATGCCTGGCTTTGTTTCCTTTTTTAAATTCAAGTTTATGTTGAAGAGTAACTAAAGAATTATTAAATGGTATTAGGATATTTACATTTGAAATGGTTAATAAAACAACCTTAAATACATACACTCAAAAGTACTGGGCATGAAATTAAAATTATAGAAGTTGTTTCTCTCCAAAGTGTCCCAGAATATTACCCTAAGCTTTGGTCCAATTAATAGATTTTTTTTCATTGCTTTCAAACAATTTTATATTTATTGGGGTTTTTTTTAATCAGCCCATTAAATTTTAAAAATTTAATTTTTTTAATTAACAGAAATTGGACACTTTTGGGAGGCCAAGGTGAAAGGAATGCTTGAGGCCAGGAGTTCAAAACCACCCTGGGCAACACAGCAAGAACCTGTCTCTACAAAATATATATATATTTTTGAGACGGAGTCTCGCTCTGTGGCCCAGGCTGGAGTGGAGTGGTGCAATCTCGGCTCACTGCAACCTCCGCCTCCCAGGTACAAGCGATTCTCCTGCCTCAGTCTCCCTAGGAGCTGGGATTACAAGCGCGCCACCACGCCTGACTAATTTTTGTATTTTTAGTAGGGATGAGGTTTCCCCATATTGGCCATGCTAGTCTGGAACTCCTGACCTCAGGGGATCCGCCCACCTCAGCCTCCCAAAGTGCTGGGATTACAGGCGTGACCCGCTGTACCCGGCCTACAAAATATATTTCTTAAAAATTAGCCAGGCAGGGTGGCACATGCCTGTAGTTTCAGCTACCTGGGAGGCTGAGGTGGGAGGATCCCTAGAGCCCAGGAGTTCCAAGCTGATCACACTACTGCACTCCAGCCTGGGCAACAGAGCAAGAGCCTGTCTCTAAAAACATAATATGGCCGGGCGCGGTGGCTCATGCCTGTAATCCTAGCACTCTGGGAGGCCGAGGCAGGTGGATTGCCTGATATCAGGAGTTCAAGAACAGCCTGGGCAACATGGTGAAACCCCGTCTCTATTAAAATACAAAAAATTATCCAGGCATGGCAGCACGTGCCTGTAATCCCAGCTACTTGGGAGGCCGAGACAGGAGAATAGCTTGAACCTGGGAGGTGTAGGTTACAGTGAGCCAAGACTGCGCCACTGCACTCCAGCCTGGGCAACAGAACGATATTCCATCTCAAAAAACCAAACCAAAACAAAAAACCGTAATACATTTTTTTACATTTCTCTACTAAAAATACAAAGTTAGCCAGGCATGGTGGTGTGCACCTGTAATCCAACTACTTGGGAGGGTGAGGCAGGAGAATTGCTTGAACCCAGGAGGCGGATGGTGGTGAGCTGAGATTGCGCCATTGCACTCCAGCCTGGGCAACAAAAGCAAAACTCCGTCTAAAAAAAAAAAAAAAAAAAAAAAATTAAATAACAAAAATCAGAATGTCAGAATGTCAAACTTACCAAAATGAAGAAATTACAATAATGGGGATCTCTAAGATTGTGCCATGTCTACACTATCTTGCTAAACTTTTAGCATTTTGAATGGGAACTTTGTGAGTATACTACAAGATCTATATAGTTTAAACATCTTGAGGTGGGGGACTCATTCGGTTATATAAGAAAAAGGTATCTTTGTACTATATCTCTCCTTCTAAATTAGATATAAGTTTAAACTCAGCATGAAGAATTAAGGAGCAAATCTCCTAACTCATTCAACAAAAACATATCTTGAGCAAAATCATGTGCATTAAAGTAGACTAAAAACATATAAAATATAGCTACTAAAATATGAGCTACTGTGATAGCTACAAAAACTGTTTAAAGTATTTCCACCAATGGCCAGATTTCAAACAAGCACCTCTGCAACACTGACTAATACGTAGGGGATGTTCATTCAATGTCTACTGAATTAAATACTGGTTGAATTACCATAAAGCAGAGTATTTCAAGATAACAAATTTAATCTGATGTCAAACTTCTATAATACAGAGAGAAGCAATGATATAACACTTCTAGACAGAATTAAACATACCAAGCTTATAGTAAAAGGCATGTATACACACAGATAATAATGGAATTGGTAGAAGCAGCAATACAGCAATGATAGTTCAGGCTAATTTCAAAATCTTCCCAAACAGCATGGGAAAGAGAACCTAAAAGTTGATATAAAACATTCAAAAATTTGGCCAGGCATGGTGGCCAGGCACTTTGGGAGGCTGAGGCAGGCGGATCATGAGGTCAGGAGATCGAGACCATCCTGGCTAACACGGTGAAACCCGTCTCTACTAAAAATACAAGAAAATTAGCCGGGTGTGGTGGCAGGCACCTGCAGTCTCAGCTACTCAGGAGGCAGGAGAATGGCCTGAACCTGGGAGGCGGAGCTTGCAGTGAGCTGAGATCGGGCGACTGCACTCCAGCCTGGGCGATAGAGTGAGACTCCATCTCAAAAACACACACACACACACACACTCAAAAATTCATCTAGTTTCTCAATCACCTCTTTGTTCATACAACAAACAAATATTTGAGTAAGGTACTATGCTAGGTACAGAAGGAAATATGTATATTTCTGGTTCTCGTACTCCAGATTTTTTTTTTTTTGTATTTTTAGTAGACACTGGGTTTCACTGTGTTAGCTAGGATGATCTTGATCTCCTGATCTCATGATCCGCCTGCCTCGGCCTCCCAAAGTGCTGGGATTACAGGCGTGAGCCACCGCGCCCAGCCTAGATGTTTTTTACCTAGTAAAATAAGCAAGGTTTTGTTAAAATATTTGTTTTATTCTTCACTGTTTTAAAGAGCTTTTCTTTTTTAATTCTGTGCCTCTGGCAAATACAGAATCTGTCTCTGAACCTCTTCTACACTAGAATGGATAAATTGTGAAAAATTCAAAATATGCAGTATAACAATGAGAAACAATAAACTACAGGTATACACAGCAAATGGTTTAAGCTCATAAAAGTAAGCTAAGGAAAAGAAGCCAAACACAAAAGAGTACATACTATACTATATCTTTTACTTTTTTTTTTTTTTTGAGACGAAGTTTTGCTCTTGTTGCCCAGGCTGGAGTGCAGTGGCACGATCTCGGTTCACTGCCACCTCCGCCTCCTGGGTTCCAGAGATTCTCCTGCCTCGGCCTCCCTAGTAGCTGGGATTACAGACATGCACCACCATGTCCGGCTAGTTTTGTACTTTTAGTAGAGACAGGGTTTCTCCATGTTGGTCAGGCTGGTCTCAAACTCCTGACCTCAGGTGATCCGCCCACCTCGGCCTCCCAAAGTGCTGGGATTACAGGCATGAGCCACCGTGCCCGGCTTTTTTTTTTTTTTTTTGAGATGAAGTCTCACTGTGTCACCCAGACTGGAGTGCAATGGTGCTATCTCAGCTTACTGCAACCTCTACCTCCCAGGTTCAAGCAATTCTCCCATCTCAGCCTCCCAAGTAGCTGGGATTACCAGCGAGCACCACCATGCCTGGCTAATTTTTGTATTTTTAGTTGAGATGGGGGTTTCATCATGTTGGCCAGGCTGGTCTCGAACTCCTGATCTCAGGTGATCCGCCTGCCTCAGCCTCCCAAAGTGCTGGGATTACAGGCATAAGCCACCACCCCTGGCCTATTTTTTTCATTTTTACATGAAGTTCAAAAACAGGGAAAACTAAGCTACAGTATTAGAGGCTACACTTGGATGGGAGGTGAAGTGCCTGAAAATGTGCATGAGTAGGATTTTAGGTTTTGATAATGTTTCCTGATCTGGGCACTGCTAACAAAAGTATTGTCAGCCTGTGAAAATTCATCCAGCTGCACGTTTTTATGATCTGTGCACTTTTCTGAAGGTATGTAATAAATCAAAAATTATTTTTAAAATACACATTTAAACTGAATCTCGACAATGTCAATTTTCTTATTTTCTTATCTACTTTATAATTGGTCAACATAAAATGTAAGATAAAATCAAATTTTGATTTTGAAAAATCTATACTTTGACCAGGCGCGGTGGCTCACGCCTGTAATCCCAGCACTTTGGGAGGCCAAGGCAGGCGGATCACCTGAGGTCAGGAGTTCGAAACCAGCCTGGCCAACGTATAGTGAAACGCCATCTCTACCGAAAAAATACAAAAATTAGCTGGGCGTGGTGGCACACGCCTATAGTCCAAGCTACTCGGGAAGCCGAGGCAGGAGAATCACTTGAACCAGTGAGGTGGAGTTGCAGTGAGCCGATATTGCGCCACTGCACTCCAGCCTGAACGACAGAGCAAGACACCATCTCTCAAAAAAAAAAAAAAAAGAAAGAAAGAAAAGAAAAGAAAAGGAAAATCTATACTTTAAAGCCTCTAAGAATTCCTTTCATATTTTGAAAGAATAAAAATGCAAGGCCAGGCGCAGTGTGGCTCATGCCTGTAATCCCAGCACGTTGGGAGGCTGAGGCAGGTGGATCACCTGAGATCAGGAGTTCAAGCCCAGCCTGGCCAACATGGTGAAACCCCATCTCTACTAAAAATACAAAAAATTAGTTGGGCATGGTGGCAGGCGCCTGTAGTCCCAGCTACCAGGGATGCTGAGGCAGGAGAATCACTTGAACCTGGGAGGTGGAGGTTGCAGTGAGCTGAGATTGCGCCACTGCACTCCAGCCTGGGCAACAAGAGCAAAACTCTGTCTCAAAAAAAATAAGTATATAAAAATAAAAATGCAGCCAATTCCTTATTAACAAAGGCTTATAGAAGATATTTTCTTTTTTTTTTTTTCTTTCTGAGATGGAGTTTTGCTCTTGTTGCCCAGGCTGGAGTGCAATGGAGTGATCTTGGCTCACAGCAACCTCCACCTTCCAGGTTCAAGCGATTCTCCTGCCTCAGCTTCCTGAGTAGCTGGGATTACAGGCATGCACCACCACGCCCGGCTAATTTTGTATTTTTAGTAGAGATAGGGTTTCTCCATGTTGGTCAGGCTGGTCTCGAACTCCCGATCCACCCACCTTGGCCTCCCAAAGTGCTGGGATTACAGGCGTGAGCCACCGCGCCTGGCCTAGAAAATATTTTCTTGTAGGGAAATTAGAGACTAATTACCCACATCTTGATCAAATAGTATATCTACTGGAGAGAAGAGTAATAATGATCGCTAAACAAAAAGCTAAAAGGTAGAAGGAGGCAGGGAACAGTGACTCATGCCTGTAATTCCAGCTCCTTGGGAGGCTGAGGCAGAAGGATCACTTGAGCCCAAGAGTTCGAGACCACCCTAGGCAACATAGTGAGAACCCTGTCTCTACTAAAAAAACTTTTTTTAATTAGCCAAGTGGTGGCACGCTCCTGTAATTCTCGTTTCTTGGGAGGCTAAGGCGGGAAAATCTCCTGAGCCCAGGAGTTAGAGGATGCTGTGAGCTATGATCGCACCACTGCACTCCAGCCAGGGTAGACAGAGCAAGGCCCAGCCTTGCCTTTGACAACAACAACAAAAAAGTGGGAGCAAAGAGTTCCTACATTCCCATCACTTCCTAACAAGCACATAGCTGAGTATAGGACCTCAATGGAAAGGATTTCATGAACGTACAGTGGGTTATTTTTAATAATACATTGGTTGCATTTAAGTATTTTTAAGAAGCATTATTAGAAACTTCTGTTTTATTTCAGGAAAAGTTATCTATTCCACCTTTTCCTCTTTCAAATCCATCTAAAGTTACCAGAACCTTAGACTTCTTTGTCTGGGATCACTAGGGGGCCATATGTGAGAAATATGAAAGAAGCAGGTTGGAAATGCCTAATGAAGGAAAGAGAAAATGGGAAAGAAAATAGAAGAAAAAGCCATTATGTCATGCCCACTAAACAGGATGCCAGAACACAAATCCAGGGATCAATGGACAAGAGAGGGAAGGAAAGAAACTAAAACTGAAGACCTTTATTCTTGCCTTACAAGGGGCCACAAGAGGTATCTGTTAAATATGAATTCTGTTGGGCTGGGCAAGGTGGCTCACACCTGTAATCCCAGCATTTTGGGAGGCTGAGGTGGGCGAATCACAAGGTCAAGAGTTTGAGACCAGCCTGGCCAACGTGGTGAAACCCCGTCTCTACTGCACAATGTGCACATGTACCCTAAAACTTAGAGTATAATTAAAAAAAAAAAAAAAAAAAAAAATTTGCCAAGCGTGGTGGCGCGTGCCTGTAGTCCTAGCTACTTGGAAGGCTGAGGCAGGAGAATTGCTTGAACCCAGGAGGTGGTGGTTGCAGTAAGCTGAGATCGCACCACTGCACTCCAGCCTGGGTGACAGAGCAAGTCTCAAAAAAAAAAAAAAAGAATTCTGTTAACAAAGTATTTCCCAGGATGAAATTGAGGGCAACTGTACACAAAGTACACAACATTTCCTCCCTTAAAGTCTAGGGAAGTAAATTGGGTCATGTGTATGAGGACTCTTGTTTGCTAAGGAGTTCTACTCTGCATACACAGCCAACTTAAAATATAACATTAGGGAAACAAAGATCATCAGTATAAAAATACTATGGTCATATGCAATGCACACAGCAGTAACATTACTGAAACTCTTGAATAAATAGTTTTCATTTTCACTTCCATGAGTGCATTCACCAGTGGTTAAACTAGCAATTTCATTTAAGTAGAAAAGTAATTTGATGCCAAGAAAGATGTGGCAAACTGGAGTGGAAAAATACTCATGTAGGCCACAGACTATGCAATTGGGATAGATGGTACTGAAGGGGCAAATGCTGCAGATTTCCATACACTGGCAGATCAACTGAAAATATCTTGCTTCCATTTAAAACTCAATGTTCTTAGTATGTTTTAGTTTTCCCAGAGCTTAAACTCCACAGTCAATTCATTTAGGTTGTGGAAATTAACTTGAGATCTTTTCTTTCCACAAAGCAAAATTAATGAATCATCTGTCCTTGTGAAAAATTTGTGATTCTGAAAGAATTTAAAATTCATGTTGGGAAAGGCCTGAGGTACTGTATTTAAAAGGGATTGTGGCAAAGCCTGACTTCTTAATAACTACTGTCTCAACATGTTTTTCTTTTGAGGAGCAATAATATTCCATATATGGAATAAGACCTGATGGCACACAACCCAAAGATTCTGGTGCCCAGTGGGAGACTTCTGGTGCTTCTAGCAAGCCTATGGAAGCAACTGCAGCTGAGCAGCAGTGCTGTTCACTTCTGCTTCCTCATACTACAAGTGAAGAAGAGTACTCACCAGTCTTTAGCTGATCAGACAATATTAAGAGGAAGTTCTCAATAAATAATAGATTCTGGCCAGGCACAGTAGCTCACGCCTGTAATCCCAGCATTTGGGAAACTGAGGCTGGTGGATCGCTTGAGGTCAGAAGTTCGAGACCAGCCTGGCCAACATGGTGAAACTCCGGCTCCACTAAAAATACAAAAATTAGCCAGGCGTGGTGGCGGGTGCCTGTAATTCCAGCTCCTTGGGAGGCTGAGGCAGGAGAATTGCTTGAACCTGGGAGGTGGAGGTTGCAGTAAGCCGGGATCGCGCCACTACGCTCCAGCCTGGGCGACAGAGCAATACTCCATCTCAGAAATAATAATAATAATTGGGAGGCTGAGGCAGGAGAACGCTTGAACCTGGGAGGCGGAGGTTGCAGTGAGCTGAGATCGTGCCATTGCACTCCAGCCTGGGCAAGAAGAGTGAAACTCCGCCTCAAAAATAAGAATTATTATTATTATTAATAAACAAGCAATGGATTCCCACTGCAATAAAAAAGGGAAAGGGAGGGTTTATGGAAACTGTTTTAAATGGAAAAGAAAGGCAAAAATCCAAAGGTTAATACTATCTGTAAAAATTCCAGAACCACACACAGTGGCTCAGTCTGTAATCCCAGCACTTTGGGAGGCTTAGGTAGGAGGATCACTTGAGGCCAGAAATTCAAGGCAAGCCTGGGCAACAGAGCAATATCCTGTCTCTGCAAAACAATTAAAAAATTAGCCAGGCATGGTGACATGTACCACTAATTCCAGCTACTCGAGAGGCTAAGGCAGGAGGATTGCTTAAGGTCAGGAGGTCAAAACTAGTTACAGTGAGCTATAATCATGCCAGTGCACTCCAGCCCAGGAGACAGAGTGAGACCCTGTCTCTTAAAATAAACAAAACAAAACAACAATAACAAAAACGCTGGGCGCAGTGGCTCACGCCTGTAATCCCAGCACTTTGGGAGGCTGAGGTGGGCAGATCACCTGAGGTCAGGAGTTCGAGACCAGCCTAGCCAACACGGCAAAACCCCATTTCTACTAAAAGTACAAAAATTAGCCAGGCGTGGTGGTGGGCGCCTGTAATCCCAGCTACTAGGAGGCTGAGGCAGGAGAATTGCTTGAATCCGGGAGATGGAGGTTGCAGTGAGCTGAGATCGCGCCCCTGAGCTCTAGCCTGGGCAACAAGAGCGAGACTCTGTCTCAAAAAAAAAGAAAACAGGCTGTGCACAGTGGCTCACACCTTTAATCCTAGAACTTTGGGAGGCTAAGGTAGGAGGATCAGTTAAGGCCAGGAGTTCAAGATGAGCCTGGGAAACATGGCAAAACCCTGTATCTACAAAAAATACAAAATTTATCAGATGTGGCCAGGCGTGCTGGGTCACGCCTATAATCCCAATACTTTGGGAGGCTGAGGCGGGCAGATCACTTGAGGCCAGGAGGTCGAGACCAGCCTGGCCAACATGGCGAAACCCCATCTCTACTAAAAATACAAAAATTAGCCAGGCGTGGTGGCACATGCCTGTAGTCTCAGCTACCTGGGAGGCTGAAGCACGAGAATTGCTTGAACCCGGGAGGCAGAGGTTGCAGTGAACCAAGATCATGCCACTGCACTCCAGCCTGGGAGACAGAGCGAGACGTCGTCTCAAAAAAATAAAAAATAAAAAAAAAATTACTGAATGTGGTAGTGTGTGTCTGTAATCCCAGCTACTCAGGAGGCTGAGGTGGGAGGATCACCTGAGCCTGGGAGATGGAGGCTGCAGTAAGATATGATCATGCCACTGCATTCCAGCCTGGGTAACAGAGTGAAACCCTATCTCAAAAAAGAAAAAAAAAAATTCTAACAGTTCATAAAGTTCACAGCCTACATTTAGTATGAATAGTAACTACCATACTATTTTCCATTATAAACTAAGAATGTATGTTTGTTCAAAGTAATGCCTACTAACTAGGGACATGTGAGGAGTTACTCCTTGTTTTCTTTATAAGCCTTAAGATGAAAGTTAGGAAGCACATGAACAATGAGAAAGCCTCCAAGTCAGAGAACAGAGGAGACAGGGCCAGAAACTCTAGCCCCTTCATTAAACAGTAAGTGACTGCAAAGAAGTTTGCCTCAGTCACGGTTAAATGTGAAGGGATAACTGAAAGGCTGGGGACAAAAAGGTACAGCTAAACATCACAGACACTCAGGTAATGGCTGAAATTATAGGTGCAGATGAGCTAAACATCAGGTGTAAACAAGGAGAATGAGTCAGGGCCCTATCAGCTTGTGTTGCTTCACTGGTCTGCTCCTAAACTAAGCAGCATTCGTTTCTCCAGACATGCAGACTGATATCCTGAAGCAATTTTCCATCCAGGTATGAAGCACAGAAGAAGAGGACAATTAACAATTTTAGAGGCACTCAAAAAAAATAATAATAATACTATTGAATTCTCATGTTTTAACCAAACTCAAAATTATTACCCTCCAAATACGAAATCTAAAATAACTATTCAAACTCTTTTTTCTGACAATCTGAGAATAATTTCTCAAACATTTTTGGTTTTTTGGTTTGCTCTGGGCTTTTTGTTTTGTTTTCTGAGAAGTATTGTTGACAATAATCTAACAAAATTAACATTCCTTTCAGCTGTACACTGTATCCAAACCTGGCTAACACCCAATGATTTAGCAACGTTACCCACCCTCAATTTTAAACACACATCTCTTTCATAAAGAATTTTAGATTTCTTCAAATGGATAAAATACCTTACTAAGCAGTATTAAAGGATTTTATGTCCCCGCCTCCCTAATCCTTTCCATTTTGCTATGTTTTTTCCTATTCAGCACCACATCAACATCACATAAATAAGTTGGCCTGCTGCTTTAAATACAGATCTACATTTAAGAGAGTTTTACAAGTTATAAGATGGCAACTTTTTGGCTTAGTGCATTCTCTCCCATTTATTGGTGTTAATGAGGAGTCCTTCTAGTTCAGTGACATTAATACTATTTCAATGCTAGCAATATACAAGGTGCTTAAATAAAAGGTAAAGAAGCCATCAAAATCCATTAAATAAGCATCTGTTCACATGTAATATTTATTATTTCAGGTGGTAACTTTTAAGCCAGGATGCTGTTTTCCTATGGCTTTCCTGAATGTTCTGCTTTCAAACCAGGCCCCTGGAGGCCCTGAAAGTGTGATGAGGAGTAATTATTTTAAAAAGCAGAGAAATGACTCGATTTGTCTGAGTTTTCAGTGACATATAAACGAATTGGCTGCAGCAACTCGGTAAAGTGTTTGGTAAAAGTTACAGAGCAGTCTTCTGCCATTACCCCACAAGAAGAAAATAATGAGGATCTCTCAACTTTATCAGTCAGGTGAGGGTAAAGTAAAAGCAAACAAAAATAGAGTCAATATACAAACATTACTTCAAGATGGATCACAGGGCCAGACTCGGTGGCTCACACCTGTAATCCCAGAAATTTGGGAAGCCAAGGCTGGAGGATGACTTGAGCTTAGGAGTTCAAGACCAGCCTGGACATTGTAGCAAGACCCCCATCTCTATTTAAAAACAAAACAAAAATAAAATAAATAAACGAAACAAAACATAGTACAATATAATGAAAACTCATGTACTCAATTTTATCACTGTTAACATTCTCAGTTTCACTAACAAAAAACCCCCATGAACCTCTCCTTGACGCCATTTATCTTCCTCCTGCTCTAGCAGTTATATCCTAAATTTGATGTATCACGAATGTGTTGTTTTTCTTGTATTTCAACCCATGGGCCTGAAAAATAAAGCATATTCCAAAAGCATTCATACCTGTAATCTGATGTGTATTCCACCCTTCTAGTGGAAGGATGGTACAGTCTGGAGGAGTAGAATGCCTGACAGAAAAATAATTTCATACTAGCGTGCTGATGCTAAGAAATAGGTATTACATTTCTGTAAAAGAAATTGATTCCCCATTTTGTCAAAATACGCCTAATATCTAAATTCCTAAACTCACTGTAAGCAAATGTGCTTGACAACAATGGCCAACACAAATAAGTATATTTATGTTAAAAATGTCCCCCTCCTTTGGGAGGCCGAGGCAGGCGGATCACGAGGTCAGGAGATTGAGACCATCCTGGCTAACACGGTGAAACCCCATCTCTACTAAAAATACAAAAAATTAGCTGGGTGTGGTGGCACGCATCTGTAGTCCTAGCTACTCAAGAGGCTGCGGCAGGAGAATCGCTTGAACCCGGGAGATGGAGGTTGCGGTGAGCTGAGATCGTGCCACTGCACTCCAGCCTGGGCGACAGAGGGAGATTCTGTCTCAAAAAAAAAAAGTCTCTGTCTTCCCAGTAATAGCATGGATCTAAAATAAAACATTTTTTAAAAGTCCCCCTTTCTCCTGATTTTTCACACTAAAAAGTGGAAGGAATTATTTGGCATCTAAGTCTTAAACTTTGGCCTTTTTTTTCAATTTTCATTAAGATTGCAAATCTTCATTATGAGAGTCTTGCCCATTCACTAAAGAACAAATGAAGACACCTCAAGGTACACAATAATCAGTGACAAAATTAACTGCAATCTAGATTGCTCAATATTTCTCTCTTTGCTAAGTGATTCATCTGCGCTTAAGAGAAAAAGATCGCCTTTTTTTTTTTTTTTTGAGGCAGTGTTTCACTCTGTTGTCCAGACCTGGAGTGCAGTGGTGCAATCATGGCTCACCAAAGCGTCCACCTCCCAGGCTCAAGTGATCCTCCCACCTCAACCTCCCAACTAGCTGGGACTACAGGCGTGAGCCACTGCGCCAGGCCAACATCGCTTTAATTAATGCTGCCTGTGTAGATTTGAAGGCGATTAGCTGCTAGTTAAAATGAAAGGTGGAAGAGCAAAAGCCGATTTATCTGCAAATCTACAACATAAAATATTTTATCTGGCACTTCACATCTTTAGCACAACAAATGAAGCTCACAATAAGGTATTGTAAATCTTGAGGTTCCATCTGAATCATCAAACTAAGATTCAATTATAGCTAAAATATTTTTAGTGTTAAAAATCATTATTATAGGCCAGGCGTGGTGGCTCACGCCTGTAATCCCAGCACTTTGGCAGGCTAAGGCGGGTGAATCACCTGAAGTCAGGAGTTCAAGACCTACCTAACCAACACGGAGAAACCCATCTCTACTAAAAATACAAAATTAGCTGGACATGGTGGCGTGCGCCTGTAATCCCAGCTACTCGGGAGGCTGAGGCAGGAGAATCACTTGAGCCTGGGAGGCAGAGGTTGCAGTGAGCCGAGATCGTGCCATTGCACTCCAGCCCGAGCAACAAGAGTGAAACTGTCTCAAAAAAAAAAAAAAAAAAACATTATTATATTCTAAATCTCTGACAATCCATGCATTTGCGTACAGTCAGTTCATATTAACTCTTCATTCTCTATTTCATATTTAGAATTGTAAAATATGAGCTGGAAGGGATCTTATTTTTAATAGGTAAGAAACATACTGCTTATAATGCTGAAATTATTTTTTGCCAAGGTCACACAAAGTTAACAGCCATCCGAAATGTTTTGCTGTATTTTTTCCCAAGAAAAATCAGGTAATTTTTGTAACTACATCCAGATGTTTGGAGATGTCTTAACAATCTCAAAGATTTCTTTTCAGACCCAAGCACAGAAGAAGTAGGAGAGGATATGAGAAATAAAGAGAATAATGGGAGGAAACATGTAAGTGGTAGAGGAATAAGAATGGACTACATCTTCCTACCAACCACACACAAACTCCTTAAAGAGAAGCAGAGGCAGAACGTGCAATGAAGACATTTCTCTTGTCAAAAATACACATGTGAAAAATAGGCCAGGCATGAGGACTCACATCTGTAATCCCAGCACTTTGGGAGGCCGAGGCTGGTGGATTGCCTGAGCTCAAGAGTTCAAGACCAGCCTGGGCGACATGGCGAAACCCTGTCTTACCAAAAGTACAAAAAACTAGCTGGGCGTGGTGGTGTAGGACTGTAGTCCCAGCTACTCAGGAGGCTGAGGCAGGAGAATCGCTTGAACCCGCGAGGTGGAGGTTGCAGTGAGCTGAGATTGCCACTGCACTCCAGCCTAGGCGACAGAGCGAGGCTCTGTTCCCCTACCCCCCAAAAAAAAAAAAAAAAAAAATCAACTCTGTTACATTGTAAAGGACAACAGAGATCAATATCAAAACATCTCTGGTGAAGAATGGTTTCCAGAATTCACTTTAGTCTTTCATTGCTGTTTTTAGCAGAATTTGTATTTGCCCAGAGCCAGTTTAATTTTTTCAATTACTTTGTGTTCATTGTAAAAAATATGTATTTTTATCCTAGAATGTAATTAATAATCTTTGAAGAGACAATACAGAATCCATAGTACTCAAAAAAATTATCTACACTACTAGTGGTTTTCTAAAATGTTGCCATCCCTTACTGCAATGAAAACAGAGCTAACAATGTAAATACTTTTACTGGCCAACAATTACAGCAAAATGAGGCAAATCAAAGACATTTAGTGTTCAGTAAAACAGATTTTGTTTCATTTGGGCAAAGATTTACTTGTAAAGATGAATATACTTTGGAGAATGCTACTTTGTTAAAACTGGTGTTTTCCAAAAGTAAAATAACATAGTAATATATCAAAAGTAAAAGCAGTAACAAAAAAGTTTGGCTAGAATAATTACAAAAGAAAAATTAATTTTTACATTACAAAACAGTTTGCAGATAATGAATACAATTATTACAAGATATTTCAGAAGTCAGTTATATTACTAATAAAATATTTAAACTATTTTTAAAAAGGGGTACAGAGCCTTGAAAATGGGCTATTTCATCAAATCTGTTTGCTGAAGTTTGAACATCACTGCTTGTTCCAGTCTTTGCTCTCTAGACATGCCTTTCCCCTCTAAACATGCCCTCCATCCTTCCCACCACCCACACCTATTCCATGTCCCACCCTTCTCTCACTTGACCCAAAATACATTCCTACTACTTGCTCACTTATTCCAAGTTCTCTCAGCATTTGTCTACCACTTATAATGTATGAAATACTTTGGATTCACTTATGTGCAGTTTATTAGTATTTACAAACCCATTTTGGGTACTTCTTAAAAGTAAAATCTTTGGGGCTTACATATTCTATTTCTCTCAGAGTGTCTAACAGAGTGTAGTTATTCAATATGAGTTGATTAATTACATACAGCTTTAGGTCCAGCATGAAAAAAAAAAATGAGGAAAAGACTGAGAGACATTAACTGGATAACCTCCAGATAGATGCAACAACACAGAATCCAAAGCACAATTTTCCTGAAAATTAAGCCAATCATAACAATAAATCCTGTCTTTAGACTTGCTAGCTTCTTAACCCAAACTGATCCACCAGAGAGGCAGTCTATTATAATGGTTAATATCAAAGGCTGTGTAGTTTGATAAATCTGAGTAACTAATCTTGCCTCTATCACCTACAAATTCTATAACCTTGCACTGACTGTTTAATCTTCCAGGACTCAATTTATTTATATTTTATATGGGGATGATGCCACCTGACTCACAGGGCTGTTAAAAGAATAAGTTGTGGCCAGGTGCGGTGGCTCACGCCTGTAATCCCAGGACTTTGGGAGGCCAAGGTGGGCAGATCACAAGGTCAGGAGTTCGAGACCAGCCTGACCAATATGGTGAAACTCCATCTCTACTAAAAATACAAAAATTAGCCGGGCATGGTAGCGCGTGTCTGTAATCCCAGCTACTCAGGAGGCTGAGGCAGGAGAATCGCTTGAACCCAGGAGGCAGAGGTTGCAGTGAGCCGAGATCACACCACTACACTCCAGCCTGGGTGACAGGGCCAAACCCCATCTCAAAAAAAAAAAAAAAAGAAAAAGAAAAGAAAAACAAAGTTGTGATCATAAAGAGCTTAGCAGAGTAAGCTCTCCATAAGTGTCATTATTATCTATTTTGATTCCTTTTGTTTTTAAAAATGTACAACTTAGCCACTTTTGTTTTTTCTCTTTTTGAGACAGGGTCTTGCTCCATTGCCCAAGCTGGAGTATAGTGGCTCAAACATGGCTCACTGCAGCCTCAATCTCCCGAGCTCAAGTGATCCTCCCACCTCAGCCTCCCAAGTAGCTGGGACCACAGGCACTCGCCACCTCACCTGGCTAATTTTTTACATGTTTTGTAGAGACAGGGTCTCGCCATGTTGTGCAGGCTGGTCTTGAACTACTAGGCTGAAGTGATTCCACCTGGACCTCCCAAAGTGCTGGGATTACAGGTGTGAGCCAACATGCCCGGCCAAAATTATTTTAAGCCCTATAGCCTGTTATAGTGTACATAAGTTAACCTAGCAACCACCCCACTCCAGATTTTATAGTCTGGTGAGGCTGCCAACCTCAATACACAAGGGATGGGCACGTGACACAGGTCTAGATTGCAGTCTCCATCATTTTGGTAATAGTGATAGGTCCGAGGAACTGGCAAAGCAGAACTATTGGAGTCCTTCCTATCTCCAAACTGATAATGTGAGTGGTAAAAGAACCCTCCAGTTTTTCTTACAGGGGTTAGTTATTAAGTTAAGGCAATATGTTCCTAGAGCTGCAGGCACCATCTTAGCTGACTATACAGAATTAGACCCTCCACAGCAGGAGATGTTGCAGCCAAGATAATTTGAGCCTTTGGATCCCACTGAACCTAAACCTAGATCCACCCCCGGTCTCAGGAGTTACATAAGGCAATACATTCCACTTCTGCTTAAATTAGTTGGTTTTGGGTTTCTGCAACCAAAATAATTCTTACTAAAAAAAAAAAAAAATGCAAACCAGGAACAGTAATTAGTTCATGCCTGTAATCCCAACTACTCCAGAGGTTAAGGCAAGAGGATCACCTGAGCCCAAGAGTTCAGGGCTGCAGTAAGCAATGATCATGCCATTGTACTCCAACCTGGGCAACAGAGTGAAACCCTGTCTCTAAAAAAAAATAATAACAACAAATAGATACTTTTTAAAAATTAAAAATAAATCATATACGTCTATTTTGATAAACAAAGATTTTTCTCCGTCTCTGACTTCAAAAGCTGCCCCTGAGCTCTATATACTTTTGTTGAGCTCTATATACTTTTGTTGTTCTACCTATAAAAATATGATCTCAATGCAGTTACAAACTTGCTTGAAATTCATAGAAATGTGATGTTCAAAATACCAATAAAATACTGAAAATAATTTATTATTCACTTGACATGTCAAGCATTTTTTAAAAGCTCCAACAAGCTCACCTGTACCTAAGCAAATTTATTATTCTGACTTTTGTTTTACAGCTGTCTATAATGTTTCTAAATCTCTTAATATGGTGGTTTCTCCTTTAATCTATATTATCTTCTGATGGTTTTAGAGCAATGTAATGAATGTCTGCTATTTATGCCTGCCTAGCATCCATTCCCCCTTCTTCTGTTAACATCACCTTAATTCTCCTTTGAGAAACCCCCACTTTCAGTCCATGTGGTTCTAGGAAAATTGCCCCATTCCCTGGGTACAGGTCTGAGGTGACCTGATATAGGCCTGGCCAAATAGAACATCTGGTACCCCTCAGCCACATGATTGGAACATGGATGAGTAAGGCCCAGTATTTTTGGCTGGAATGACTGGGAAAGAGATATTACAAAGACATCAGTTCTCTCCAAATTAATTTATGGATTTAATATAATTTTAATCAAAATCCCAGAGGATTTAAGAATGATAAAATCATTCCAAAATTTATCTGGGGAAATAAGTAACTATACTATACCAGCCGGCAATTGTCTATTGTTACTTTTCAAATTTTTCTTGGCTGGTACAGTCCACTTGAATTACCAGATATTAAATGTTACAGCTACAAAATACAGTGTGGTATGTTACAAAACACTAAAATGGAATACAATAGAAACTCCAGAATCAGAGCAGAGAATATAAAAAGTGCTATTCAAAAAGGTATATTTAAAATCAATGAGAAAAGGACAGGTCATCTCATCCCAAGAGGGGCAGATGTATAGCATGCATATTGCACCCCATCCTCAGGCACACTCATTGCAGATATCACTAATTAAGCATAGCACTTGCTACTGCTGAACCCAGATATGGCCTTGAATCCTTCCACATATGGCACTCTAGGCAGCCACCAGCAAGCTATCAGACTAAGCATGCAAGAGGATTATTTGACAAATAATACTGAGGCAATCAGTTAACTATTTGGAAAAACAAATAAAGTTAAACCTCTACTGCATACCATATGCCAAAATAAATTCTACATAGATTAAGAAGTTAAATGTAAGAATTGAAACCATAAAAGGACTAGAATAAAGCTGTTGCAAAAGACATTCTCAGAGAGAAACAGAGAAACTGCAATGACAAGAAATGGGAGACAGAGCAACTGTCCTCAGCACTGCCTTGGGTTTGTGACATTTCTGAGGCGCAGCTCTTCCTGAAGTCCCGAGACCTGTCTGGTTCTTTATAACATCTCCATCCTTTTATCTGAACTAGTTTAAATGGGTTTCTGTGTTTTGAAACCCAAAGAGCCTTGAATAAGGCATGTGCATTTTCTTTCTTTTTTAAAATTTTTGTTAGTTGATCAATTCATCTTACCATAAATAAGTCTGGGCTGGACATGGTGGCTCACACCTGTAATCCCAGCACTTTGGGAGGCCGAGGCAGGCGGATCACCTGAGGTCAGGAGTTTGAGACCAGCCTGGCCAACATGGAGAAACCCTGTCTCTACTAAAAATACAAAAATTAGCCAGGCACGGTGGCACACACCAGTAATCCAAGCTACTTGGGAGGCCGAGGCAGGAGAATTTCTTGAACCCAGGAGGCGGAGGTTGCAGTGAGCCGAGATGGTGCCTCTGCACTCCAGCCTGAGCAACAGAGCAAGACACTGTCTCAAAAAAAAAAAAAAAAAAAAAAAAAAAAGTCTATACCATCTGAGTCTCTTTCAATGAAAAATTAAAGCTTCCAATTTTTCTAAGTGTAAGGTGTAACTTTTTTTTTTTTCATTTTTAAAATACAGATGGGGTCTCACTAGGTTGACCAGGATGATCTTGAACTCCTGGCCTCAAGTGATCCTACTGCCTCTGCCTTCCAAAGTGCTGAGATTACAGGAATGACCAACCACACCTGCCTAGGTGTAACATTTTACATGCATGACAGATTAAATTCAAAAATACACTGCTCAACTTTCTCATCTATTTCATTAAGTTTACTTTCCATAACACATTCAAGATAACTTACAAATTTTAAAGCAAGAGGGTCCGAACACAGCAAAAAGAAAAATGTAGAAAAACCAAAGCAAAAAGAAAATTGCATTTCACATATTCTCAACTAATTATAGCATTCTAGCAATGTCTTGGGGGTCAGAAATAAAGCCAAGTTTGAATTTTATATTTCTTTTATTATTTTAAAAGGCAAATCTATGACACCATAATCACTAGCACTTTGTTCATATATAAAATTATTTCACGAGTTTTGTTTTTACACTAAAATCTAACACAAATTTTATTAAGGAATCAGTGCATTTTCCTCAGAAAGACACTTAAATAAAGTAACCAAATCAATTGTATTTCTCCAGGCACAAAATATTAAACATAACTGACCATACCATCATTTCTCCAAAGGAATTCAAAAGCTCTTTTCTCTAATCTAGAAAAAAGAACCTTTAAAGGAAGAATATGTTCTCATTCCATGTGACCAGATACAGTATACTGTTTATAAACTAAAATTTTTCTTCGCAAACCCCAGAGACAGCAGACAGTTACATGGCTTAAGTGCTTTACAACAAAGCTGAACAGTATGAGGGTAACACTCTCCAAATTATTTCACTTTTCCACTGATAAACTCACTGCAGAAGATTCTCTGTAAGTATCAAATTTTTGGATGCACAGGCAGTTGGAAGGAGACTATCTAGGTAGGAAAAACTTCTCAGTGGACTCTGCTATGTCCCCTGACAAGCATCAACTGCTTTAAAGTATCTCTTGAATTGAATCCTCCTCTCTATTCCCACTGCCACTACCACCACCGGCTCCAAAGGTGATCACCTCTGGCTTGGATTACTTTTCACTACAACAGCTGCTGTTTTTCCCACCTTCGGTCTTTCCTCTTTGCACTGCATCCAGTGCTTCCACTGCTGCCAACCCAAAATTCTGTTCCCATCACATCACTTCCTGGATCAAAAATGAATTGCATCAGTTTCCCACCTCTTCTATCTCTTCAACCTCTCACTCTTTCTGTTGGTTGGGCTTTTCTCTTGCTATACAAATCTGTCCCAATTATTTTCCCATTTAAAACAAAACAAGGCCAGGTGCGGTGGCTCATGCCTGTAATCCCAGCACTTTGGGAGGCTGAGGCAGGCAGATCACGAGGTCAGGAGATTGAGACTATCCTGGCTAACACAGTGAAACCCCATCTCTACTAAAAAATACAAAAAATTGGCCGGGCATGGTGGCGGGCGCCTGTAGTCCCAGCTACTTGGGAGGCTGAGGCAGCAGAATGGCGTGAACCCGGTAGGCGGAGCTTGCAGTGAGCTGAGATCGCACCACTGCACTCCAGCCTGGGCAACAGAGTGAGACTCTGTCTCAAAAACAAAACAAAATAAAAAAACACCAGTAAATAAAACCTTTCTTGGACATTTCATTCAACTTTACTTACTGGCTTTGCTTTTTTTTTTTTTTTTTTTTTGAGACAGGATCTTGCTCTGTTGTCCAGGCTGGAGTACAGTGGCACAATCACCACTGTAGCCTCGACCTCCTGGGCTCAAGAATCCTCCCACCTCAGCCTCTGAGTAGCTGGGACTACAGGTGCATGCCACCACACCCAGCTAATTTTTGCATTTTCTGTAGAGATGGGGTCTTGCCATGTTGCCCAGGCTGGTCTGAAACTCCTGGCCTCAAGTGATCCTCCCACCTCAGCCTCCCAAAGTGCTTGGATTACAGGTGTGAGCCACTATGCCTAGCCGCCTTTGCCTCTTTCATTTTGCTGAGAAACTTTTTAAAAGCATAGTCTAGACCAGGCATGGTGGTCCACACCTGTAATCCCAGCACTTTAGGAGGCTGAGGCGGGCAGATCACGAGGTCAAGAGATTGAGACCATCCTGGCCAACATAGTGAAACCCCATCTCTACTAAAAATACAAAAAAATTAACTGGATGTGGTGGCACACACCTGTAGTCCCAGCTACTTGGGAGGCTGAGGCAGGAGAATTGCTTGAACCCAAGACGCAGAGGTTGCAGTGAACCAAGATCGTGCCACTGCACTCCAGCCTGGCGACAGAGTGAGACTCCGTCTCAAAAAAAAAAAAAAAAAAAGCATAGTCTACTCACTGCCTTCTGCTCCTGTCACTTTGCTGAAACTGCTCTTATGAGGACTCCAATGGTCTTGTATGCTAATGATCAAACCTAATGGACTTTTTAGCTCTCAACTTTCTTCGCATCTGTAATATCTGAAGATGCTGATCACCCCCACCTCCTCGAAATTCTTGTCTGTCTGACTACCACTGCACACTTTTCTCCAGATTGTCCTCTTACCTCCTGGACCATTCCTTTCCAGATTCTTCTTCCTTCACCCTGGCTCTAAATGTAGGGGTTCTGCAGGATTCCATCCTGATTCTACTTCTCAATTTGCACTACTCTCCGTTTTTTTTTTTTTTTTTTTTTTGAGATGGAGTCTCACTCTGTTGCCCAGGCTGGAGTGCAGTGCTGTGATCTCGGCTCACTGCAATCTCCACCTCCTGGGTTCATGCCATTCTCCTGCCTCAGCCTCCCGAGTAGCTGGGACTACAAGCGCCCGCCACCACGCCCGGCTAATTTTTTTGTATTTTTAGTAGAGACAGGGTTTCACCCCGTTAGCCAGGTTGGTCTTGATCTCCTGACCTCGTGATCCGCCTGCCTCGGCCTCCCAAAGTGCTGGGATTACAGGCATGAGCCACGACACCTGGCCTACTCTCTCAATGATTTCATCCACACTCACGCGTCAATTACCACTTCTACCCTGATATCTCGTAAATCTTCATCTCAGTTGACATTTCTCTTGATTACAGTCCTAAACATCCAGCCGGCTACTGACCTTTTCCACCAAGATGTCACGCAGGTAATTCAAATTCAACTTGCCCCAAACTAAACTTATCTTCACTCAGAAAACTAGCTTGCCCTCTGTTCATTTCAGTTTCATAGTTATCCACCTTCTCAAGTCAGAAATCCAGGAGTTAGCCTCCATTTCTTTCTCTTAAGACCTCAAACATTTAGGCCTGTTGTTTCTATCTCACTATTTCTCCGCTTCATACTATCCTATCCAGTCTCACTATACTTATGGTGTCACATAGCCTCCTAACTGCTTTCCCTTACCTCGTATCTGGAGCTCCTATACTCCATCTGCCACTCTCAACTTTCTAAAACATTTTCCCTCATTTAAAGCACTTTGGCAGCAACCTGTGGCCTAAAACTTTTTCAGAGCACATGTACATCAGTAAAAATTTGAGTATATGGCCCTCAATCTATGAATATTTATTAATGCATATATACTATAAACCATATATAAAATACAGAAACCAAGAAAGACTGAGATACAGAAAAATATATAAGATATAAACATAACCCAGATGAAGTCATTATATCATTAGCTACTATATGACTCAAAGTACAATACATTCTTAAGGTGAAATTCATTATCGATGATAATGTGTATATATATCCATATTTCAAATAGTCTTCTTGACAATTTCATTTTTTAGGCTGACTCCTTGACAGATGTAATTACCTTGAAATGTGACAAAGAGCTCCCACCAGGAGGAGAAATGTCAGTTCTACCTTTTTGTTATTGTTTGCAGTGTTACAGTTATCTTTAATCTACTATTTCTTTGAGCAAATCTCTAAGCCACTTGTTCATTTTGTGAAGATTAATGTAATTAAATGCAGATAATATAAATCCACTCAACCAGGCTCAAGTAAACTGCAATAAGTTGCATTCTGATAACGGCAGCCAAACTAGTAAGGTCACCACTGTCAATTCCTTGGCTTTATGAAGCTTCTGTTCCTGTCACTTTGCTGAAATTGCTCTTATGAAGACTCCAACAGTCATAAGACATCAGCTTGTATATCGAGTATGTAATGGCACTGTCTTAAAAGACTAAGAGAACCAGTGTTACCTATATATTAAATATTAATAAAGCTCAATTTCTTTTTTTCAAGTTGAAAAAGTAAATATAAACCTCATTTAGAGACAATTGCTTAGCACTACATACAAGGCTCTCGATGACCTGGCCTCTGCCCACCTTTCCAGACTGCTCTTCTGGCACACACTTCCTGTACCTTACCACACTTTACTTCTCTCAACAAACCTGCTACTTATCATTTTCTTACCTTCGACATGCTGTCTCCTTTACACTCCTACCTCCAGTGCCCTGTGTTCTCACCTCTATTAAAGCGTGTATCACAACCTGCAATAACTGTTCCTTACTAGCCTAAAAGGGCAGGATTACTCCCAATTTGGAATTCCCAGCATCTACCACAACACTTTTGCAGCAGGTACTTAATAAATGTTGGGGCCGGGCGTGGTGGCTCATTCCTGTAATCCCAGCACTTTCGGAGGCCGAGGTGGGTGGATCACGAGGTCAGGAGTTCGAGACAAGTCTGGCAAGATGGTGAAACTCCAACTCTAATAAAAATACAAAAATTAACCCAGTGCGGTGGCAGGTGCCTGTGATCCCAGCTACTCGGGAGGCTGAGGCAGGAGAAGCACTTGAACCCGGGAGGCGGAGGTTGCAGTGAGCCAAGATAGCGCCACTGCTCTCCAGCCTGGGTGACAGAGCAAGAGTTCGTCTAAAAATAAATAAATAAATAAAACTAAATAAATAAATAAATGTTGACAGAATGAAAATGGTCTAAATTCCTCTGGTTGGCTTTCAATAACTTGCATAATCTGGCTTCAATCTATCTACCCAACTTTATTTTCTTCCCTCAAGTCCATACCAATTAGCCATTCCCCTCACTTTGTATCATATGTCATGCTCATTTTGGCTTTTGTTCAGGCCATCCCCTCAACTTGAACTGACTTCAGTCTACAGAGAAGTAGCCTGTCCCTCAAGCCTGTCTCCTTTCCCTAGGAAGTCATACTCAATTCTTTCATCCCCCAATTAATCATTCCCTTTAGTGAACTCTTGAAGAGTGAGTTTTACACACTTTAGCAACTATTTTCTATGGGGTAGTTTTTCTTTTCTTTTCTTTTCTTTTTTGAAGACAGGGTCTCGCTGTCACCCAGGATGGAGTACAGTGGTGCAATCTGCAACCTCCGCCTCCTGGGTTCAAGTGATTCTCCTGCCTCAGCCTCCCGAGTAGCTGGGATCACAGGTGCACGCCTCCACGCCTGACTAATTTTTGTATTTTTAGTAGAGATGGGGTTTCACCATATTGGCCAGGCTGGTCTCGAACTCCTGACCTTGTGATCCGCCCGCCTCGGCCTCCCAAAGTGCTGGGATTACAGGTGTGAGCCACCGCACCCGGCCAATGGGGTACTTTTCTTTCCCTAGTTTCTCTCTAATGATTTGATGCCAAGGACCATCTTCATTTTACTTTGCCCATTGATCTCTCACAGCACACTACAACATAACAAGACACAGGAGATGCTAAAGATATGACTGATTAGTTGTACGTAGCCCCGTCCAGGGGGGGAAGCACTGGACTGGGTTTTAGTACAACTTCCACCAACTAATTTGTCAGGTGACCTTAATCATGTCACTTAAACTCTGGGTGTTCATTCCTTATCTATAAGATCAGACATTACCAACTTTAAACAATCCAGGTAAGGTATTTCTTCTACTCCAAATGAAAAATTAAAAATTTTCCCTAAAAATCAAGAGAAATTCTGAGACCTTCAGTAACTCATTTAACTTTGGTGAAACTCAGTTTTAATCATTTATACAACAAATATAAACAGCCTATCTCAGAGGACTGAATAAAAATCCAAAGAGAAAATATAGATATAGATATAGACAGGCCAGGTGCATTGGCTCATGCCTATAATCCCAACACTGTGAGAGGCTATGACGGGAGGATTGCTTGAGCCCAGGAGCTCCAGACCAGCCTGGGCAACATAGTGAGACCCTGTCTCTACAAAAAACAAAAAATAAAAATAAAAACATTAGCCAGGCTGGGTGCAGTGGCTCACACCTGTAATCCCAACACTTTGGGAGGCTGAGGTGGGCGGATCACAAGGTCAGGAGATCAAGACCAACCTGGTTAAGATGGTGAAACCCCGTCTCTACTAAAAATACAAAAAAAAAATTAGCTGGGCATGGTGGCATGCGCCTGTAGTCCCAGCTACTCAGGAGGCTGAGGCAGGAGAATCACTTGAACCTGGGAGGCAGAGGTTGCAGTGAGCTGAGATCACGCCATTGCACTCCGACAGAGTGTAGTGTGACAGAGCAAGACTCCGTCTCAAAAAAAAAAAAAAAATTAGCCGGCATGGCGGTGCACACCTGTAGTCCTGCTACTTAGGAGGCTGAGGTGGGAGGATTGCTTGAGCCCAAGAGGTTGAGGCTGCAGTGAACTGTGATCACGCCACTACACTCCAGTTTGGGCAACGGAGAGAGGCCCTGTCTCAAAATAAATAAAATGCATAATTTTAAAATCCTGATTAAAATGTAAGACATTATTATACTATTTAGTGGAAGACGCAAGCAAGCAGCATTATTTGTTGTCCAGTTGGTTACCACAGTGTACTAACCTAGCCAGGAGCACTGATTGGATCCTCGAATAGTCAGTTGAGAACAGCAAAACACTGTTCTACTGCACTCCAGCTAAGCAACAGAGCGAGACTCTGTTTATTTATTTATTGGCAGCGTTTCTGTTCACCCAGGCTGAAATGCAGTGGTGCAATCATGGCTCCCTGCAGCCTCAACCTCCTGGGGTCATGTGATCCACCTCAGCCTCTCAAGTAGCTGGGACTACAATTGCGCCACTACACCCAGCTAATTGTTTTATTTATTTTTTTTTTGAAGTTTTTGTACAGATAGGGTCTTGCTATGTTGCCCAGGCTTGTCTCGAACTCAGCCTCAAATGATCTTCCTGCTTTGGTCTCCCAAAGTGCTGGATTACAGGCATGAGCCACCACACTTGGTTTTTCTTTTTTTCTCTTTTCTTTTCTTTCTTTCTTTTTTTTTTTTTAAAGCTAGTCAAGTGAAGCAGTGAGAGTGGAGAAGGAACAAATAATCTGTAACTAGTTGTGATCAATTAGTTGTAAACACCACTGCACTCGGACCAGCGCAAACTCATTCTTAACCTAATCACCTAAAATAATTCTTATCATCTATTCTTCTTCAGGTAAAAATGGAGCCCTGGATGTTATTTTAACGACTTGCCATCCTTCCTGTTTTGAGAGTGTCTTTGTTAACTCGTGGCATACCTTCGTGACCCGGTCCTACCTTCCTCATTCAGACCTGTGCTGTTCATTGCTGTATTCCCAGTCCCTTAAAAAGTACTCAACACGTGAATTGCAAAATGAATTAACAACTTTGAGGGAGGTGTTATTATCATCCTGGCTTTACAGATGAGGAAACTAAGGTTTACTTAGCAAGATTAAGTAACTTGCCTAGGGGTTACAAACCACTAGCCAGAAACAAACCCACATCTGACCACAAAGTCCTTGCTTCTACTCTACCCTACTGGCTAGAATAACTTTTTAATGTCTTGCACTTCTGTGTCTTTACTGGTGGCAGCTCTCTTCTAAAGGGGAAGCTCAATTTAAGCTTCATCAACCTGGGCATCCTCAACCTCTGATTCCCATGATGGACCTATATAGACCTCTGTCTCCTTTGGGTTGTGCAAACTTCTATTAAAACAGCACTTTTAGCCCTCTGCTGTACTTATTTACTTCTCCGTTTCCCCACATCTCAACTCTAAACTTCCTGAGGACAGGAATCAGGTATCTTCAAGTGCCTCTGGCATGAGTTAAGAGTTAAGTAAATATCTGATGAATGAATAAATAACTCCTGCAAATCCCTGAGATAAAAAGGAAACTTTTAACTCAATTCCTTAACCACAGGCAACCAAAGACTATAGCTTTCCCTGGTGTGGGATTGGCAAAAGTGTGCCTGAAATTCCCTGCCCACACCACAAAAAAGCATCACTGTGAGATGATACGGCAGTTTTTCAAGTTTTCAGACATCTAATGGAAGGACAACATGGTACAGCCTGAAAACTTTAAAGACTAAACTTAAAATCTGTCTTTTAAAAGTGGCCTACCTGGATGGGACACCAGCTCTCAATTTTAAATAATGTTTGACTGGTTCAATTAAATCATTGTTTTCAGTGGTTTTACATATTTTGAGTAATTTTATTTTTACACCCAGTGGCTTGAAAATGCAATGTCGTAAATCTACTATATTGACTTCCTCACTACTTATAAGAACAAAAACTGCTTGTCTTGTACAAAGTGGGAAAATAAAGTAGAACCTGCATGTTAGGTAAAAAGGCATTCAATAAACATGTTATTATGCGGCCATCTTTCTAAAAGCACACGTGGCCTATTTTAGCCCAATAAAGACTGGGAAGCATTTACTGCAAGGTTTTCATTTTACTGGTCTGAATACTAGGTTCAAACTATACCTATACAAAAAGTAGGTTGGTTGTTTGTTTTTGAGATGGAGTCTTGCTCTGTCATCCAGGCTGGGCATCCATGCTGGAGTGCAGTGGTGAGATCTTGGCTCACTGCAGCCTCCACCTCTGAGGTTCAAACGATTCCCCTGCCTCAGCCTCCCTAGGAGCTGGGATTACAGGCATCTGCCACCACGCCTGGCTAATTTTCGTATTTTTAGTAGAGACGAGGTTTCGTCATGTTCTCCTGACCTCAGGTGATCTGCCCACCTTGGCCTCCCAAAGTGCTGGGATTATAGGCATGAGCCACCACGCCTGGCCAAAAGGTTTTTTGTGTTTTTTTTCTAAATATGGTGTACAAGGTTCAACTGTCTGCCCATCACAACTGAGGACTACATAAATAGTACTAAATTCAATATTCTGGATGTAAGAATTTATAACCAAATGCTTAGCTAGACCAACTTCAAGGTACACGTTTAGAGTAACAGTTTTTTTTGGACACACACCCAAACCACAATCTATAATTTTACTCCTTCTATTAACACTAATTTCCGAGCAATGTCTAGCCCCACCTAGACATGCAATATAAATAAGGTTTATAAATAGGATATTATAAAGGTGGGACACTGGAACTTCACAACTGGTGTACATGAAATCATTTCTGGTAAATCAGTATTTTTCCAAATATTCACAAGCTGATTTATAAGAAAGTGAAAATCCATTGTGCCAAGTTGGACTTCTGGCCTCTCGGTTTGACGATTGGTCCTTCTTCACCAGCAGCCCCCAGCCCTTCCCTTCTGTCCTTCCTCTGCCAGGAATACCCTCCTGACTCATCCCTGCCTGCCTATGTCCATCACTTCTTGGAGACCTGGCTCAAGATTCAGCTTCGGGAAAAAGTCCTCCCTGGCTAATTCCATCTCCACTAACTATTTTCTAACTTTGCATTCCTTTGGCATTTAAGTATAGTTTCACGACGTAATCACCAACTTCATTCCTTTCCTCCCTATAAGTTGTTTTGCATTTTTCTATCATTTCTCCAACTAGAGACCAAGTAGGGACAGCATCTTCTTTTATATTCTTTTCAACACAGCTAGCCATAATCACCAGTGAAAGAAAGCTGACCGCTCAAAAATTTCTGAAGAAAGCAGCTGACTTTTCGTTTATAATTTACAATACTCTATCACCTCCAACATGCATGAGTCCTTAGAGGAGAGGAATTTTATTTTTGCCTTAGTTCAAATTCATCATGAAAGATCCAACTTACAGATCACATACATATAACTTAACATAAAGAATAATCCTGGTTATTGAAACCTATCTTGTGATTTGCCATTTCAAGTTTCTTACAAAAACCCCAAGAGTCTTGAAGCAGCGCGCCTGTGAGTGGTAGGAAGCTGGCAGCAGACTTGCAAAAGGGGCAAAACTCTAGTTGGCAGTAAATGTTCAAACACGTGAGCCTCCACTGTTAAACAAGGTTCGTTAACCACACAGACTTGCTGTTTCAGCTTTCTGGCTTCAATGAAATGCTATGATCTCCTTTGGTTATTGTTGAGAGCCAATGATGGGTTAAATTCCCATAAATTAACCAGCGCTTTGGTGGTTTGCCCGAGCATACCGCTGGCATCGGTGAAGATGGCCTTTTTTTTTTTTTAATAGACCCGCCCGCCCCGAGGAGCCAGAGGTGAGTGAGTTAAGCGCCAACCCGGCACTTCTCAGCGGGCAAACGGAGACAGACCCACTCGAGCCGTTCGCTCTCCCTCAAGTTCTTAGTGTCAGCTTATCGGGCCGAGGTGGGGCTTCATAGGCAGCTGCTTTTTACTCAATCTCAGCCGAGTCTTCCCTAGGGGCTGCAAGCCACACTTCGGCGGCTGCCCAACTTTTCCTGCAAGAAGCATCCGTTTTTCCACACTGAAAGCTCCAGAAACCCGGGTTTGGAGAGAGACGGGGAGAGAACCGGCTCGCCCCGCCGGCGGGGCAGGAACAAAGTGAGCTCCCGCGAGCCCAGGCCGCCGCGGCCTGCCCACCCTCCCGCCCGGCCCCGCTCACCCTCCAGCAGCACCTCCTTGCCCGCGCGCTTCAGCGCCTGCACGGCCTGGTCGTGGGTGGCCTGGCGCAGGTCGGTGCCGTTCACCGACAGGATGGCGTCGCCCAGCCGCAGCGCCCGGCTCTGGTCGGCAGCCAGCCCGGGGAAGATCTTGGAGATGAGGATCGGCATCCGGTTCTCGCGGCCGCCCTTGATGCTGATGCCCAGGCCGCCCGCCTCTTGCTTCACCACCCGCACCCGGCGCACGGGCGGCGACGCGCCCGCCTCACCCGCGGGGCCCCGAGGCGGCGCCGGCGGGCTCGGGGGCCCCAGGCCGCGGCTTGGGCTCCCGGGCAGCGAGTCGCCCGCGCCGCCGCCGTTTGGGAGGCCGTTGAAGGCGGCGGCCGCGGGTCCCAGAGCGGGCTCCAGCTCGGCCGCGGCGGCGTCGCCCGTCAGGCTCAGGCTCTCCCCGCTCAGCTCGGCCACCACTCGGACCCAGCGCTCCCTCAGGAGCAGCTCCACCAGCCCCGCTTTGGTGGCCCGCGTCCACACCGCCATGGCCGGCCCCGCTCCAGCCGCCGCAGTCGCCGCAGCTACCCTCATTCCAGTCAGGCAGCCTCGGCGCTTCCCTCTTCCCGCCCGGAGGGGCGGGCCCGGCCCCTCCCCCGCACGATTCATTATTCATGAGGCCACGCCTGCCTCTGGAGGGGCGGGGCCGGCGCAGCCGCTTCCGGGAGGTGCAGAAGTTGTCCGATCACTCGCCTCTCGCCGGACGTGGGCAACCCGAATGCGGTGGGACTGCATTTCTCCTCATCCTTCCATTGGCTCCCCACGGACCCCCCAGAAACTCCTGACCTCTACCGTGCAATTCACGGGAGCTGCCCGGGCACGGAAAGCAAAATCAGCTTGGAGAAACACTTCTCAAGCCTGCAAGACCCGGTGGCACGTTCATTCTTGCATTGATTGGTTCGTACCCTGTGTACTGAGCGCTTAGCCCTGTACTCCGGCTCCTTTTGAGGCCCTGTACTTAAGCTCAATAGTACCAACAACAGCTGAGAGTTTGCGGTCTAGTGGGGAAGGAAAATGCAGAACCAACCAACTAGGTGTGATACTATGTGGTTAAGTGACATGCAGAAGACGTCCCCAGAACAGCATAAAAGGAACATTTGGTTAGGCCTGGGGTCAGCTTCACAGAGGTAACAACGGACGGTGAACAGCTCAAGCAAAGGTCCAACAGCATGATCCAAGCCTTTGTCAATGTTTTGTAATCTCGTTTACTTGCCTGTAATTCAAGAGGGAACCATGTCTTCTTAAACCCTGAAGCCACAATTGGCAGGCCTCAAGGATATTTGCAGAATGATGGTGTCTTAGGGTTCTTCAGAGAAACCAACCAATAGGATATATAGAGATATATAAATTTATTATTATTACAAGGGACTGGCCACGAGATTATGGATGCTGAGAAGTCCCACGATCTGCCATCTGCAAACTGCAGGCCCAGGAAAGTTGGTGGTGCACTTCCAATCCAAGCCCAAAGGCCTGAGACCCAGAATCAGTGGTATAAACCTGAGATTGAAAGTCTGGGCCGGGCGCGGTGGCTCAAGCCTTTAATCCCAGCACTTTGAGAGGCTGAGGTGGGCGGATCACCTGAGGTCACGAGTTTGAGACAAGCCTGACCAACATGGAGAAACCCCATCTCTACTAAAAATACAAAAAATTAGCCGGGCGTGGTGGCACATGCCTGTAATCCCAGCTACTTGGGAGGCTGAGGCAGGAGAATTGCTTGAACCTGGGAGGCAGAGATTGCGGTGAGCTGAGATGGCACCATTGCACTCCAGCCTGGGCAACAAGAGCAAAACTCTGCCTCAAAAAAAAAAAAAAAAAAAGAAAGAAAGAAAGAAAGAAAAAGAAAGTCTGGGCCGGGTGCAGTGGCTTACACCTGTAATCCCAGCACTTTGGGAGGCCAAGGCGGTGGATCACCTGGGGTCAAGAGTTATAGACCAGTCTGGCCAACATGGTGAAACCCCGTCTCTACTAAAAATACAAAAAATTAGCCAGGTGTGGTGGCAGGCGCCTGCAATCCCAGCTACTCAGGAGGCTGAGGCAGGAGAATCGCTTGAATCCGGGAGGCAGAGGTTGCAGTGAGCCAAGATTGCACCACTGCACTCCAGCCTGGGCAACAAGAGCAAAACTCCATCTCCAAAAAAAAAAAAAAAAGTCTGAGCCACACGCGGTGACTCACGCTTGTAATCCCAGCACTTTGGGAGACCGAGGCAGGCAGATCACTTGAGGTCAGGAGTTCGAGTCCAGCCTGGCCAATGTGGTGAAACCCCCGTCTCTACTAAGAATACAAACATTAGCCAGGCATGGTGGTGGGCCCTTATAATTCCAGCTACTCGGGAGGCTGAGGCAGAATTGCTTGAACCCAGGAGGTGGAGGTTGCAGTGAGCTGAGATCGCACCAGTGTACTCCAGCCCGGGTGACAAAGCAAGACCCTGTCTCAAAACAGAAAGTCTGAGAAGGGGGTGAGGGTGGGAGTTGGGGTGGGGGGACAATGATGTAAGTCACCATCCCACTGCCAAGGCCCGAGAGCCAGGTTCACCAAAGTCTGAGGGCAGGAGAAGATGGATGTCCCAGCTCAGGCAGAGAATGAATTCCCCCTACCTCTGCCCTTTGTTTTGCTCAGGCCCTCAACTGACTGGATGCTGCCTGCCCACATTGGTGAGGGTGATCTTCTTTAGAGTCTACCGTGGAAATGCTAATCTCTTCCTGAAACACCCACACAGGTATACCCAGAGGTTATGTTTTACTAGTTACCTGGGGATCCCTTAGCCCAGTCAAGTTGACACAAAATTAACATCATAGATGGTTACTTAGGAAGATGCTAGAATTCCAATGTGAACAGAGCATAGGGTCAGTGGAAATGGGAGGATATGAGTGTGAAAAGCATCTTTTTTTTTTTTCTGAGACAAGAGTTTCACTCTTTTTGCCCAGGCTGGAGTGCAATGGCGCGATCTCGGCTCACTGCAACCTCTGCCTCCCAGGTTCAAACGATTCTCCTGCCTCAGACTCCCGAGTAGCTGGGATTATAGGCATGTGCCACCACGCCTGGCTAATTTTGTATTTTTTAGTAGAGACAAGGTTTCTCCATGTTGGCCAGGCTGGTCTTGAACTCCCGACCTCAGGTGATCTGCACGCCTCGGCCTCCCAAAGTGCTGGGATTACAGGCATGAGCCACCACGCCCAGCTGAAAAGCATAACAAAATATCGAGGAGTTTGAACTTGACTTTATAGATCTTTTTTTTTTTTTTTTTTTGAGATGGAGTCTCATTCTGTCACCCAGGCTGGAGTGCAGTGGCTTGATTTCAGCTCACTGCAACCTCCACCTCCTAGTTTCAAGCAATTCTCCTGCCTCAGCCTCCCGAGTAGCTGGGATTACAGGCGCGTGCCATCACACCAGCTAATTTTTGTATTTTAGTAAAGGTGGGGTTTCACCATGTTGGTCAGGCTGTTCTTGAACTCCTGACCTCATGATCCACCCGCCTCGGCCTCCCAAAGTGCTGGGATTACAGGCGTGAGCCACCGTGCCTGGCCGCAGATCTGACTTTCTTAGCCTGGAGGCCATGGCCTTTTGTTGGGGCAAGTGTACGTGGGCATTCCCAAAAATTGTATGCAAAATTTGGTCTCTAAGGTATTTTTTTGAAGCCTGTGATTCATCCAATTGGCAGGAAGTTTCCCTGACCAAAGGCCATGAGCCACTGCTGTGCACATTGCAGAGCCTGCAGTGGCTTTTATTCAGACATGAATGATACAACCCACCCACCTCCTCCAGCTTCATGGACTAGAAGAGCTAAGAAAACTGAGGGCCAGAGAGCCAAAGACCAAAGACCATGGCCCAAAGTCCATAGGAAGGAGGCAGAGACAACTCAGGACTACCAGCCTCTGGATCCAGGGTTATTTTCACTATACAGTACCCTTCAGACCTCAAAAATAAGGGTCCAAGCTGGGCACAGTGGCTCATGCCTATAATCCCAAAACTTTGGGAGGGTGAGGCAAGCAGATCATTTGAGGTCAGGAGTTCAAGACCAGCCTGACCAACATGGTGAAACCCCATCTCTACTAAAAATACAAAAAAAAAAAAAAAAAAAATTAGCCAGGTGTGGTGGTACACACCCCTATCTCAGCTACTCAGGAGAATGAGGCACAAGAATCTCTTGAACCCAGGAGGCAAAGGTTGCAGTGAGCCGAGATCGCACCGCTGCACTACAGCCTGGGCGACAGAGCAAGAGTTTGTCTCAAAAAAAAAAAAAATTAAAAAAATAAAAAATAAACTAAGGGTCCAGAAAGCACACTGTTAAGAAAGCAAGTGCTCAGCAAAATCATGAGGTCAAGGTGTCCTCTAACTTTTCTTCAGCAGTAGTAGCAAAAAATCCCTGTGTTTTCATGTGGGCAGGGACAGGGGCAAGCAGAGGGAATGTGCACCAATTCCTGTAAAAGGGGCTGTAAACTTGCTTGCTCATGAAGTGCACGTTGAGGCTCGTAAACCGTGGCCGTGCACCACTCTGTGAATGCATGTTCATGTGCAGGCAGAAACTTCTGAAGAGCCTCCTGTAACAGAAGTTAAAATAATAAATGTAGAGGCTGGGAAGTGTCCAGAGCCCAAATGAAGAAAGAATTCAAAATGAGAAAAGTATCTTACCAAAAAAAAAATCATTACAGCAGAATCCTCTTTGCGATTAGTGGAGTCGGATTTTCCAAGCTGCAAATGTCAGCAAAAGCTCAACCCTCCAGCCCTCTCCTAAATCAACTGCAGAGGCCAGCTTGCTGTTCCAGCAGGTCCCAATGTGCCCAAGTGCACCTGCGGTCACAGACGTTCTGGCTCTGCTCCAGCTGAGGCGTGAGCCCCCAGAGGCCTGAGTTATGTGAAATTTCTGCTTATTAGAGAGTGTTTCGCAGCTGATTCCTTAGAGTATGAGTGCTATTTTTAACACTTTTGCATTTGTAATTACCCAGGAGTTGGGCACTTGAGGACACCTTTATTAGCAGAAGGGAAGTGCTGGGAATTCTCTGCAAGACTATCAAGACCTTTTTGCCAATAGAGTTGGAGTAAGTCACAGATCTGCTAACTAATAGTGAGGGCACTTACATAAGACAGCAAGTTATATAACAAAATATTTAACCCTGGAAGTAGCTAATGGAGATAGATTGGTATTGGGATTACTTGATAATTTTTCCTTTAAAGATTATTTTCAGGCTGGACACGATGGCTCATGCCTGTAATCCCAGAGCTTTGGGAGGCCGAGGCGGGGGGATCACGAGGTCAGGAGATCCAGACCATCCTGGGCAACATGGTGAAACCCCATCTCTACTAAAAATACAAAAATTAGCTGGGCGTGGTGACATGCACTTGTAGTCCCAGCTACTCAGGAGGCTGAGGCAGGAGAATCACTTGAACCCGGGAGGTGGCGGTTGCAGTGAGCCGAGATCGTGCCACTGCACTCCAGCCTGGGCGACAGAGCAAGACTCCATCTCAAAAAAAAAAAGATTATTTTTAAATATGTCCATAAAAAAAAAAATCCCCCAACTGTCAAGCTGTATCTGCAAGGCCTTCCATCAGAACCGAAATGAACTTTTCAACATTGCCTTTCATCACTACCTTCAGATGAGCCCAACTCATTCAGTCAATGTGTCCCAATGATGTCTTGCACGTTGTCTAAGTCCTTCTTTCCAGACACCTCCTGCCTCCTCCGGCCGAATTCCCTTACCACCTAGCAAGCTTTCATTTCAGCTTTGCCTGACTCCTCAGTTCATTGGGAATTTTCCTTTGAACAATTTAATTCTGTTCCTGGCTTGTTTGGCCAAGTAGATTATAAACTACAGGAGGGCAGGGACCACCCATCAACTTATATTTATTCCCCACTATTCCAAAAAGATTACCTTGCAGAGAAGGAACTCATTAAACATATGATTGATTGAGATTCAGTGCCTTCTGCGCTATAGTCCTTTCAAATAATTCCTCTGAAGGTTATTGGTTCCTTGCAGAGTGAAAATTACCATCTAGGAAATCTCAAGGAGTCAGTGGAAATCTACTTACTGTGGATAATGAAATCTGAAATAAAAAGAGCGCACATCTGTTTCCACAGTTTCTTAAGGACAGTGAGACAAGCTATGATCACTCTTTGAAGAGTCATGTTACTTTACCTCTAAAAAAAGGAAATGGCGGCCAGGCACAGTGGCTCACACCTGTAATCCCAGCACTTTGGGAGGCCGAGGCAGGCAGATCGCTTGAGGCCAGGAGTTTGTGACCAGCCTGGCCAACATGATGAAACCTTGTCTCTACTAAAAATACAAAAATTAGCCTGGTGTAGGGGTGCATGCCTATAATCCCAGCTACTCAGGAGGCTGAGGGACGAGAATCGCTTGAACTGAGGAGGCAGAGGTTATAGTGAGCTGAGATCACGCCATTGCACTCCAGCCTGGGCAACAGAGTGAGACTCTGTCTCAAAAAATAAATGAAAGGGCCGGGCACGGTGGCTCACGCCTGTAATCCCGCACTTTGGGAGGCCAAGGCGGGTGGATCACAAGGTCAGGAGATCGAGACCATCCTGGCCAACATGGTGAAACCCCGTTTCTACTAAAAATACAAAAATTAGCTGGGCGTGGTGGTGCATGCCTATAATCCCAGCTACTCGGGAGGCTGAGGCAGGAGAATCGCTTGAACCAGGGAGTTAGAGGTTGCAGTGAGCCGAGATTGCGCCACTGCACTCCAGCCTGGCGAAAGAGTGAGACTCCATCTCAAAAAGTAAATAACAAAATAAAAATAAAAATAAATAAAAAATAAAGGCTGGACACAGTGGTTCACACCTGCAATCCCAGTACTTTGGGAGGCTGAGGCGGGCTGATCATGAGGTCAGGAGATCGAGACTATCCTGGCTAACACGGTGAAACCCCATCTCTACTAAAAATACAAAAACCCCACTTCTACTAAAAACACACAAAAAAATTAGCTGGGCATGGTGGCATGCACCTGTAGTCCCAGCTACTCAGAAGGCTTAGGCAGGAGAATTGCTTGAACCTGGGAGGCGGAGGTTGCAGTGAGCCGAGATCGTGCTACTGCACTCCAGCCTGGGGGACAGAGCAAGACTCCATCTCAAATAAATAAATAAATAAATAAATGAGTACCCATTGCTGTTATTACCAGTTGACTTTCAGCAGCACCAACAATAAAACCTTTGATAGAAACTCTTGGCTGGGCACAGTGGCTCAAGCCTATAATCCTAGCATTTTGGGAGGCCGAGGCAGGAGGATCACTTGAGCCCAGACTGGGCAATGTGGCAAAACCCCATCTCTATAAAAAATACAAAAACTAACTGGGTGTGGTGGTGGGCACCTGTAGTCCTAGCTACTAGGTAGCCTAAGGTGGGAGGATCACTTGAGCCCAGGAGTTCAAGGCTGTAGTGGGCTGTGATCAGACCACTGCACTCCAGCCTGGGTGACACAGTGAGACCCTGTCTCAAAAAGAAGGAAGGAAGGAAGGAAGGAAGGGAGGGAAGGAGGGAGGGAGGGAAGAGAGAGGAAGGGAGGCAGGCAGGCAGGGAGGGAGGGAGGGAAGAGAAGAGAGAGCAAGAAAGGAGGGAGGGAAGGAAGGAAAGAAGGAAGGGAGGGAAAAGAAGAAAGAGGAAGGAAGGAAGGAAGAAAAAAAAAAAGAAACTCTCCAGCTGCTAGTCTATACTTTATCTAGGAATGAGTATGCCATAACACCATTTGATGCCATGCTTAAAGGGCAAATGGCCAAATTAATTTCGGTGACAAACAGATCTTGTATAAAGCTACACTTTGGCTGAAAGACAGTATAGATTGCCAAGAGTCCGTCAAAGGAAAAGAATTAGTGGATCTGGGGCTGGTTCCAACGTTTGAGTGTTGTGTAATTTCATAAGGAAGGAGGGCCTCAAGCAAAATTGCAGCCCTTAGCAAGCCTGAAGGTCACTGCCACAAAGGTGGCCTGATGCCAGAGGAACAAAAGCAGGAGCCACTCAATTACTACTAAGGAAGAAGCCAAAGGGAGAAATAAGCTTATAAAATAACTGATCCAACATCCAGCTTTGAAAAATTATCTATGCATAACTCTTCCCCACTAAGAAGGCAGCAGGATCAGTTATCCTTTTCAATGAATAGTACTACTTTACCTTCCAGTAGAAATATCCTGCAATATATTTTCACTCCAGCACAAACATGTCACGAAAGAGAGAAAGGTGCATATGTCCTTTAGCTGATGCAAGCACATTTTTAATTCATCCCACCAAGATAAATCACTAACCATCTGAAACCCGCAAAAATGGACTAACGATCTCATACAGCATGACTATGAAAACCCACATCTGCTAACCACATTCCTAATAAGCAGCAGCTGGTGACAGTTTTGTAGCACTGTGACTTTTTAAAGGAAAATATTAGCAAGGACACACTAAATAGAAGTTTAGTTTCATTGAATCCACTTAGTTACGGAAAATCACCAGTGTTTTCTTTTTTCTTTTTTTTATTGACAATCATGGAAATTACATAATTTGTCATGAAATTCAAATAATATCTAAAAATAAAAGTCAGCCCAGCACGGTGGCTCACGCCTGTAATCCTAGCACTTTGGGAGGCCGAGGTGGGTGGATCATTTGAGGTCAGGGGTTCGAGACCAGCCTGGTCAACGTGGTGAAACCCTGTCTCCACTAAAAATACAAAAATTAGCCAGCCATGGTGGCAGGCACCTGTAATCCCAGCTACTTGGGAAGCTGAGGCAGGAGAATCGCTTGAACCCGGGAGGCGGAGGTTGCAGTGGGCCATGATCGTGCCACTGCACTCAAGCCTGGGTGACAAAGCGAGACTGTCTCAAAAAAAATAAAAAAATAAAAATTAAATTAAAAGTCTACTTTCCCCCTTCACCAGTTCTTTTTTTTTTTTTTTTTTTTTTTTTTTTTTTTTTTTTGAGATGGAGTCTCGCTGTGTCGCCCAGACTGGAGTGCAGCGGCCTGATCTCAGCTCACTGCAAGCTCCGCCTCCTGGGTTCATGCCATTCTCCTGTCTCAGCCTCCCGAGTAGCTGGGACTACAGGCACCTGCCCCCACGCCCGGCTAATTTTTTTATTTTTAGTAGAGACGGGGTTTCATCGTGTTAGCCAGGATGGTCTCGATCTCCTGACCTCGTGATGCGCCCGCCTTGGCCTCCCAAAGTGCTGGGATTACAGGCGTGAGCTACCGTGCCCGGCCTCTTTTTTTTTTTTTTTGAGATGAAGTTTCCCTCTTGTTGCCCAGACTGGAGTGCAATGGCACCATCTCGGCTCACTGCAACCTCCGCTTCCTGGGTTCAAGCAATTCTCCTGCCTTAGCCTCCCGAGTAGCTGAGATTACAAATGCCTGCCATCATGCCCAGCTAATTTTTGTATTTTTAGTAGAGACGGGGTTTTACCATGTTGGCCAGGCTGGTCTCGAATTCCTGACCTCAGGCGATACGGCTGCCTTGGCCTCCCACAGTGCTGGGATTACAGGTGTGAGCCACCACACCCAGCCTGGAGATTGAATCTTTAAAGAGGTAACTGAGTTAAAATGAGGTCACTGGGGTGGGCCCTAATCCAGTTTGACTGTTTTCCTTATAAGAAGAGATGAGGGCAGAGATACATGCATGGAGGGAAGACCATGGGAAGATGAAGGGAGAAGATGGTCATTTACAAGGCAAGGAGAGAGGCCTCAGAAGAAACCAATCCAGCCTGGCGTGGTGGCTCATGCCTGTAACCACAGCACATCAGGAGGCAGGAGGATCACTTGAGTCCAGGAGTTCGACACCAGCCTGGGCAATATAGCAAGACCTCGTCTCTACCAAAAAACAAAAAGCTAAAAAACAAGGCCAGGCACGATGGCTCACATCTGTAATCTCAGCATTTTGGGAGGCTGAGGCTGGCAGATCACTTGAGGTCAAGAGTTCAAGACCAGCCTGGCCAACATGGTAAAACTCCATCTCTACTAAAAATACAAAAATTAGCTGGGCATGGTGTTGCATGGTTGTAATCCCAGCTACTCAGGAGGCTGAGGTAGGAGAATCACTTGAACCTGGAAGGCGGAGGTTGCAGTGATCCAAGATTGCTCCACTGCACTCCAGCCTGGGCAACAGAGTGAGACTCTGTCTCAAAACAACCACCACCACCAAAAACAAACAAACAAACAAACAAACAAAAAATCCTGCTGACACCTTGATCTCAATCTCAGACCTTTAGCCTCCAGAACTATGAGAAAATAAATTTCTGGTCTGGCACAGTGGCTCACGCCTATAATCCCAGCACTTTGGGAGGCCAAGGCAGGTGGATTGCTTGAGTTCAGGAGTTCTAGACCAGCCTGGGCAACATAGTGAGACCCCATCTCTACAAAAAAATAGATCCTTGATTAAAAAAAAAAAAAAAAAAGAAAAAGGCCAGGTGCGGTGGCTCGTGCCTGTAATCCCAACACTTTGGGAGGCCGAGACGGGTGGATCACTTGAGATCAGGAGTTTGAGACCAGCCTGACCAACATGGTGAAACCCCATCTCTACTAAAAATACAAAAATTAGCTGGATGTGGTAGCACACACTTATTACCCCAGCTACTTGGGAGGCTGAGGCAGGAGAAGTGCTTGAACCCTAGAGGCAGAGGCTGCAGTGAGCTGAGATCGTGCCACTGCACTCCAGCCTGGGCATCAGAGTGAGACTCTATTCCAAAAAAAAAAAAGAAAGAAAAAGAAAAAATGACAGTTTGGGCTATTAAAAAAAAAAATTAGCCAGGTGTAGTGGCGCACACCTGTAGTTCTAGCTACTCAGGATGCTGAGGCCAGAGGATTGCTTGAGCCCAGGGGTTAAGGCTGCAATGAGTCAAGATTGAGCAACTGCAATCCAGCCTGGGCAACAGAGCCAGACCCTGTCTCCAAAAAAAAAAAAAGAAGTTATGTTGTTGAAGCCATCCCAATAGTGCTTTGTTATGGCAGCCCTAACATAGACCCCACGTCACCTACACAACAGCCTGTTTTTTGCCTCCCTAACTTCCAGTCTCTTCTGCCCCTTACACAAATGGGCATTTTTACTGTCATTCCATTGAATGTGTGAGTGACTCACAGCTGTGTTTTCCACTGAATGAAAATTCTGGACCACAGACTGGAAGGCCCACCCCAACTGGTCTTATTTCTCACTACATGTTGGCTCAAGGACTCTGTATCCAAAACAACTTGTCTTTTCCACATACTTTCCTAAACTGCTTAGCTTCCTTCTGTGGAAACCACTCTATTGTGTGTGTGGTGTGTGTGTGTGTGTGTGTGTCTGTGTGTCAGGGTCTTGCTCTGTTCTCAGGCTGGAATGCAATGGTGTGGTCCCAGGTCACTGCAGCCTCAACCTCCCAGGCTCAAGCAAGTCTCCCACCTCAGCCTCTCGAGTAGCTAGGAAACACAGGCATGTGCCACCACATCTGGCTAATTTTAAAAAAATGTTTTCGTAGAGATGGGGTCTCACTGTGTTGCCCAGGCTGGTCTCAAGTTCAAGGAATCCTCCTGCCTTGGTCTCCCAAAGTGCTGGGGTTACAGGCATGAGCCACTGTACCTGACCTCATGTAGCATGACTGATCTACTTGCTTCTCTCCCCTTCTAGGCGGTATAGTTCTTGAGGGCTGAGGCTGTATTTTTCTTCTGTTTTTGGTGAGTTGCATATAGTAGCCACTCAATAAATGTATAGCTGTTACTAAATTCTATAACTTCCTAAAGACAATGAACTGACACAAAGCTAAGCCTGAATATCTAGATCTGTGCTGGTCAATATGAAGGCTATTAGCACATGTAGCTATTTAAATTAAAATTAAAAATTCTGGCCAGGCATGGTGGCTCACACCTGTAATCCCAGCACTTTGGGAGGCTGAGGCAGGCAGATCACCTGAGGTTAGGAGTTCCAGCCTGGCCAACATGGTGAAACCTTGTCTCTATAAAAAATATAAAAATTGTGCTCGCTTCAGCAGCACATATACTAAAATTGGAACGATACAGAGAAGATTAACGTGGCCCCTGAGCAAGGATGACACGCAAATTCGTGAAGCGTTCCATATTTTTTGCAAACCATCCAAAAGACCACCACCCGCCAGACAGTGGATGGCAAAGTGGTGTCTGAGACCAACGACACCAAAGTTCTGAGGCATTAAGCCAGCAGAAGCAGGGTACCCTTTGAGGAGCAGGAGGCCAATAAAAAGTTCAGAGTTAAAAAAATATATATATGTGTATATATATATACACATACACACACACACACACATATATATTATATATATGTGTGTATATATATGTGTGTGTGTGTATATATATGTGTGTGTGTGTGTGTGTGTGTGTGTGTATACATATATATATATATAAATTAGCCGGGCATGGTGGCGCATGCCTGTAGTCCCAGCTACTTGGGAGGCTGAGGCAGGAGAATCGCTTGAACCCAGGAGGTGGAGGTTGCAGTGAGCCAAGATGGTGCCACTGCGCTCCAGCCTGGGCGACAGAGTGAGACTCCGTCTCAAAAAATAAATAAATAAATAAAACAGAAATGTTTTCTATTTGTGCTATGCCGTAAGATAGTTACTAGGCACATGTGACTATTGAGCACTTGCAATGTTGCTAGTGTGACTAAGAACAGAATTTTTTTTTTTTGAGAAGGAGTCTTGCTCTGTTACCCAGGCAGGAGTGCAGTGGTGCGATTTCGGCTCACTGCAACCTCTGCCTCCCAGGTTCAAGCGATTCTCCTGCTTCAGCCTCCTGAGTAGCTGGGATTACAGGCACACACCACCATGCCTGGCTAATTTTTGTATTTTTAGTAGAGGCAGAGTTTCACCAAGTTGGTCAGGCTGGTCTTCAACTCCTGACCTCGTGATCCGCCCACCTCAGCCTCCCAAGGCACTGGGATTACAGGCATGAGCCACCTTATGCTGGCTTCGAACTCCTGACCTCATGATCCACCCGCCTCGGCCTCCCAAAATGCTGGGATTACACGCGTGGACCAACCGTGCCCAGCCTTACTTATTTATTTTTGATACAGGGGTCTCACTCTGTCACCCAGGTTGGAGTGCAGTGGCATGATCTCTGCTCACTACAACTTCCACCTCCCAGGCTCAAGTAATTCTCCCACCTCAGCCTCCCAAGTAGCTGAGATTATAGGCATGCGCCACTACACCCAGCTAATTTTTGTATTTTTAGTAGAGACGGGGTTTCATGGTGCCTAGGCTGGTCTCAAACTCCTGAGCTCAGGTGATTCATCCGGCTTGGCCTCCCAAAGTGCTGTGATTACAGGCATGAGCCACCACACTTGGCCTACTTTTCTATCATTACGGAAAGTTTATTGGACAGTGCTGATCTACGTCATAAAATACCTTGAAATACTAAAAGAAAAAGACAACACGGCTGGACACGGTGGCTCACGCCTGTAATCCCAGCACTTCGGGAGGCCGAGCTGGGCGGATCACGAAGTCAGGAGCTCGACACCATCCTGGCTAACACGGTGAAACCCCGTCTCTACTAAAAATACAAAAAATTAGCCAGGCATGGTGGCAGGCGCCTGTAGTCCCAGCTACTCAGGAGGCTGAGGCAGGAGAATGCCTTGAACCCGGGAGGCGGAGCTGGCAGTGAGCCAAGACTGCGCCACTGCACTCCAGCCTGGGTGACAGAGTGAGACTGTCTCAAAAAAAAAAAAAAAAAAAAAAAAAAAACAAACCAGAAAGAAAGAAAAAGACAACACATTAGGGGAAAAAAAGGAGAAAGGGTTATGAATATGTAATTCATGCAATTGGCCAAACAGCCAAACACATAAAGTGAGCAACCTCATTAGTAAACAGGGAAATGCAGAGTAAAATGAGATAGCGTTTTTCACCCATTGGATAGGCTAAAATTAGTCTGCCAATACATTGGTAAGGAATAAGGAAACAAATACTTTCAAACACTGCTGATGGGAAAACAGCCAGTACGAAGGCCAAATAAAAGTGAAAGAAAATGGACACAGTATGAGCCACACCCAGGAACTGGCCCAAGAAACACCCAGACATGAGCACCAGGAGACAATGTCCTAGATTGTACATTACTACACTCTATATGACTAACACAAAAGACTGCCCACATAACTCAATATTACAGCTAGATCAAGTGCTCAAACACCTTCCCTGTAGCCTACGAAACGGAAAATCCTTTGTGTATCATGCCTGCTAATCATCATGTTACAGGAAAGGGGTCACAATCCAGACCCCAAGAGAGGGTTCTTGGATCTTATGCAAGAAAGAATTCAGGGCGAGTTGGTAAAGTGAAAGCAAGTTTATTAAGCAAGTGAAGGAAAGCCAGAGCAGCCTCAAGGCTGGTTGCCCATTTTTATGGTTCTTTTCTTTTTTTTTTGGAGACACAGCCTCACTCTGCCGCCAGGCTGGAGTGCAGTGGTGCGATCTCGGCTCACTGCAACCTCTGCCTGCCCAGTTCAAGTGATTCTTCTGCCTCAGCCTCCCTAGTAGCTGGGACTATAGGTGTGTGCCACCATGCCCAGCTAATTTTTGTATTTTTTTTTAGTAGAGACGGGGTTTCACCAAGTTGGCCAGGTTGGTCTGGAACTCCTGACCTCAGGTGATCTGCCCACCACAGCCTTCCAGAGTGCTGATATTACAGGCATGAGCCACCGCACCCAGCCTTTTATGGTTATTTCTTGATGATATGCTAAGCAAGGAGTGGATTATTCATGCCTTCCCTGTTTAGACCATATACGGTAACTTCCTGACGTTGCCATGGCATTTGTAAACTGTCATGGCGCTGGTGGGAGTGTAGCAGTGAGGACGACCAGAGGTCACTCTTGCGGCCTTCTTGGTTTTGGTGGGTTTTAGCCAGCTTCTTTACTGCAACCTGTTTCATCAGCAAGGTCTTTATGACCTGTATCTTGTGCCGACCTTCTATCTCATTCAGTGACATAATGGCTTAACTGTCTGGGAATGCAGCCCAGTAGGTCTCAGCCTCATTTTACCTAGCTCCTATTCAAGATACATTTGCTTTGGTTCAAATGCTTCTGACAATCATATTTATGATTAGGGTCCTATAACTGAGATAGTGGGGGAATAAGCTGAAGAATGCCACCTTGGCCTCTAACAAATCAATGTGTGACTATGGGAAAAATTACCTCTTCCCTTCTTGATCTCCCATTTCCAAGACTGTAAAAATGAGAATGGCCGGGTACGGTGGCTTACACATGAAATCCCAGCACCTTGGGAGGCCGAGGTGGGCAGATCACCAGGTCAGGGGATTGAGACCATCCTGGCCAACATGCTGAAAACCCGTCTCTACTAAAATACAAAAAATTAGCCGGGCGTGGTGGCGGGCACCTGCAGTCCCAGCTACTTGGGACTGAGGCAGGGGAATCGCTTGAATCTAGAAGGCGAATGTTGCAGTGAGCCGAGATCGCACCACTGCACTCCAGCCTGGTGACAGAGCAAGACTGTCTCAAAAAAAAAAAAAAAAGAAGAAAAAAAAAGGAAAAAAAATGAGACTGAGAGTCACGTTTCTTTTACAAACTCCTGCTTCATCTCCACCCAATAGGAATAACTTCATTTTTATCTACAGCATACATTGTGGTTCGGTATTAAGTACCATTTAAAGAAAGGTTGATGCTCAAAAGAAAGCCTAAAAACCCCCAAATTTGATGGTCTCTATCTTCCAATATTCCAAGATTTTAGTTCTTCTTAGTTGAATTTGCTATACTCTCCACGGTACATGTGAATTATCCATTCAGAGATTAGTTTACTAACCAGTACATGAGAAGAGTGAATTTTTAAAGCATTTGAGTCAGATTGGCAAAAAAGACCGTTCCTGGGCTGGTTTCAAATCAGAATTTTTCTGTAGAACCCAAGAATGAGCAGAGGTATGCAAAATGGCCAAAACAGAAACATAACGCCAAGAGGGAAACGTTTTAAATGTCTAGGTTACACAAACCCCCAAAGTAAAAACACCCTGAAACCCATGCACTAAAGCGTTCCCCTTTTTTAATACTGGTTTTCCTTCCCTTCCCTTCCCTTCCCCTCACATCCCCTCCCCTCCTCTCCCCTCTCCCACAGTCCCTTCCCCTCACATTCCCTCCCCTCCTTTCCCCTCCCTTCCCTTCCCCCAATTTCTCTAACTTGCCCTAGTCAGTTTCTGCTTCATTTGTATTCCAAGTTTTCTACTTCGGAAGAATTTCAAGGCCCAAAGCACTTACTTCCCATACCATTTAAGGAAGTACAAATCACTGGCTGGAAAAGTTGAAAAGGAATGCTTTCTACTTTCAGAACTTTTACTTCCTCATTCAGATGATCTGTGGGCTCTCTCTGTGAGAATTACATCCTCCACAACCCACAAGATTTTAGAATTTAAGTAAGTTAAGCCATAAACTAGATTCCAGTTGACAAGGATTCTCTGAATTTACAGCTCTACAACGAGTGAAAAGCAAGTGAGTTAATTTATTATTTTATTTTGAGATGGAGTCTCGCTCTGTGCGATCTTGGCTCACTGCAACCTCTGCTTCCCAGGTTCAAGCAGTTCTCCTGCCTCAGCCTCCCAAGTAGCTGGGATTACAGGCGTGTGCCACCATGCCTGGCTAAGTTTTGTATTTTTAGTAGAGATGGGGTTTTGCCATGTTGGCCAGGCTGGCTTGAACTCCTGAACCTCAAGTGATCTGCCTGCCTTGGCCTCCCGAAGTGCTGGGATTACAGGTGTGAGCCACTGCACCGGGCCACAAGTGAGTTACTATTTAAGGCATCCTAGCCTCCATCTGTTCACAAGTATTCAATGTAGACCAGCAACTTGAACTTGTCATTTCAACCACTTAAAACATTTCTTAGAAAGGACAGAATCTTCAGTAAACTAAAAAGGTCCCTAATAGTCCAGTCTAATCCAGACTGGAAAAATATACCTTACAGAAAAAAATGTATTCAACAAGAGGCAAGTTTTTTTTTACACAGGTGACCTAAAAAGTTGCAGGTATTTTGTTTTCTTTGAGAGAGGGTCTCAAAAAAATCTAGGCTGGAGTGCAGCGGCGTGCTCAGGGATCACTGCAGCCTCTTCCTCCTGGGCTCAAGCAATCCTCCCACCTCAGCCTCCTGAGAAGCTGGGACTACAGGTGCTTGCCACCACGCCTGGCTAATTTTTGTATGTTTTGTAGGGATGGAGTTTCACCATGTTGCCCAGGCTGGTCTCAAAGTCCTCAGTTCAAGCTATTTGCCAGTCTCAGCCTCCCAAAGTGCTGGGATTACAGCCATGGCGCCCAGCAGGTATTTGTTTAAATTACTCCTATCACTGTAAAACCTAACAGGTGGGGCAGAGGCAAAGACATCCATTATAAATCTTATCATATCTGTTCTTTCTTATCAAACCTAAAATAGGCTGTCCTTTATGTGATAAATTATTGGGCTCTGTTTATCTCTCTTATAACCTCTCTCTCTCTGTTAATTCTCCCCCCAAACATCTACCTTAAATCCTCATTTATTTTCCCTTTCCAGAATGGAGAGTGGGGCTAATCATAGCAAAATGTTTTTCACCAACCCTTCATTCAAGATGTTATCAGAACCCACACACTTCTCTGCCCACACTTCAGCCCTCCATCCCCAAAACAAACAAACAAAAACCACACAAACTGGGTTTACGCAGGCATGCAACAGAATACATCCCGAGAAGGGAAAGAAATCTATCTGCTCAGTTTAGTTAACTAGAGTTCTTCACTTTCTAATTTAAAGATCACATTAAAACTGGCCAGTTGATAACACACGTGGGAATAACAATGTCAGAGCAGGTAGAAGAGAATGAAAAATGTGAAATACATGGTGGGCTCTCGGGTCCCCATCTCTACTCTTAATCCCTAACAAAATTCCTGCCCAGTGTTTCCTTACCCTTTTTTTTTTTTTTTTTTTTAAAGAGACAGGGTCTCACACTATGTTGCCCAGGCTGGAGTGCAGTGGCTATTCACCAGTATGATCATAGCACACTATGGTCTCAAGCTCCTGGGCTCCACTGAGCCTCTCGAGTAGCTGGGACTACTGATGTGTGCCCAGCTCCTGTATCTTTTTTTTCATATTGTATTTCTTTAGGGATAGGGTCTCCCTATGTTGCCCGGGTTGGTCTCTGGACTCAAGGATGCTCCCACCTTGGCCTCCTAAAATGCTGGGATTACAGGCATGAGCCACCATGCCTGGCCCTTCCATACCTTTTGAAACCAGCACATAACAGGTAAAAAGGCAGTTAATGGGACTGATAACCCAAGCTTTTTTTACTTTTAAATAAAATTAACGGCTGACTGTCAAAGGTCAAAGGCATCTATTTTTTAGATGGAGCACTCCCTTATAATGCTGGAGTTGAAATTCTTCCTTGAACTCTAAGGCTGATTATGGTTATTAGTGGTCAGGCTATCCTGGGTAAGTAATTACGGTCCTCTGCCCTCCAGGGCGAGGATGGGCAGATTCCTACGCAGTTCCATGGGCTGGGGGCTGGCAGGAAGTGAAGGCTATCAGCTCTCTGAAGCCTTAGGCATGTAATAGGGAACAGAACACAAATATCTTTTCTTCTGAGATTGCGGCCTACAGAATAAGCAGGACTCAATCAACATTAGATGAGTTTGTAGCTACTGAGCACATTATCCCCAATACAAATACCTCATTTGGAATTTCCATTCATTTTCATTCAATGAAGGGAAATGACTGTCCATTATTTTGGAAGAAAACATTTATAATGACTAGTCCTCAAGAATAACTTGTTTTATTACCATGATTTGTGAAAAGCAACAGGGTAGACAGTTCAAGGAAGGACACAGACAGTGCCCTGTTTTAGGTTCCAAATTTCTTCTTTTTAATGGGTGGTGGGAGCTGAGCAATGATGTCATCCAGAGGCCGTTCTACTGCCACGAGTGTTCTTTCATCCAAAAGATCCATGAAGAGTAGAGGCTGCAGAGGGATGATAATTATTCTATCAGGACTTAGGATCCAGGGCTAGTCCTGAAAGAACTGACTGTAGGTAGACACCATCTAAGCTAAAAGGTTAGCCTAGTTCAAGGCTCAAATGATTTAAATTTCTTGACAATCTTTCCTGCCCTGGGACTCAAAATAGTTGGAATGCATAAAAGCTTTTTTTTTTATTTTTTAGAGATCTTGCTATGTTGCCTAGGCAGGAGAGCAGTGGTCATTCATAGACATGATCAACGTGCACTGAAGCCCTGAACTCCTGGGCAATCATCCTGCCTCAGTCTCCTGAGTAGCTGGGACAATAGGTAGGTGTGCACGGCTGCGCCTGGCTCAAGATTGGGAGCCTTTTTTTTTTTTTTTTTTTTTTTTTGAGACAGAGAGTCTCGCTCTGCCGCCCAGGCTGGAGTGCAGTGGCGCAATCTCGGCTCACGGCAAGCTCCGCCTCCCGGGTTCACGCCATTCTCCTGCCTCAGCCTCCCGGGTAGCTGGGACTACAGGTGCCCACCACCACGCCCGGCTAATTTTTTGTATTTTTAGTAGAGATGGGGTTTCACCGTGTTAGCCAGGATGGTCTCGATCTCCTGAACTCGTGATCCGCCCACCTTGGCCTCCCAAAGTGCTGGGATTACAGGCGTGAGCCACTGCGCCCGGCCAAGATTGGGAGCTTTTAACTAAGTTCACTCATAAAAGGTCTCAGCAGGATTTTTTTACATTTCTCTGGATAGAAAATCTATGCTTCTTATATCTCAAGAATCAATGTTAAGCAAGGACTTTAAAGTCTAAGTTCTTTTTTTTCTCAGACAGAATCTCGATGTTACCCAGCCTGGAGTGCAGTGGTGCAATCATACTCACCGCAGCCTTGAACTCCTGAGCACAAGCTATCCTCCCATCTCAGCCTCTTGAGCAGCTGGGACTACAGGCATGCTCCACCACACCTAGCTAATTTTTATATTTTTTTTTTTTTTGTAGAGACAGGGTCTCACTATGTTGCCCAGACTGGTCTTGAACTCCAGCCTCAACCTCCTAAAGTACTGAGATTACAGGCGTGAATCACCATACCCAGCCTAAGGCAACTGACAACTGGCAAGCTACAAATGCATCAAGAAGCTAATCACATTTGAGTAATCAGTAATTTACAGAACTCTCCTTTTTTTTTTTTTGTTAATAGTGATGGGGTTTCACCATGGTGCCCAGGCTGGTTTTGAATTCCTGGGCTGAGGAGATCCACCTGCCTTGGCCTCCCAAAGTGCTGGGATTACAGGTATGAGCTACCAAGCCCAGCCTGCTTGACATTTATCCTATGGAACACTCCAACAAGTAAAATTTAAAGCCAGCTCTCATGACAACAAAGACTCTACCCTCAGCGCCAACATTTCTCACTACTTACGCATTTCATTTTGGTTAAGTATGATGTGCCTGCCTCTAACCTACTAAGGCAAGAACAATAAAACATATACAAGGGACAGCCAGCCTCAAAAAGGTGACTTGTCTCCCACAAGCCAGGTTCTCTGCATGGAAACTGAAGGTGCTCTTATCTTCCGATTGTGGAGTTTATTACATTTTGGTATCACAAAGGAACCAACTATCCAGAATAACAACACAAGATGTTTTACCTTATATATCTTAGAAATTTTAAAAGCATGAGCTGTGCGCCTCCGGATGACATCTGATTCATTCGTGGGAGGAAATGGATTGTAGAGTAAGGTTTTGTCATTTGGAAGGGGCTAAAAAAACAAAGACACATTGTTTAAATGGTTACTTTTATTGGGCTTCTGCAGACCAAAGATCTGTAGTGCATTTTGAGCCCAACATCATCTTCTAACCATCATATATATTCAGTACCTCCCTGACATTCGTTAATTCGGGAAAACAGCTGTAGCCATAATACCTCTATTCAGAAAAACTAGGGGGGAAAAAAAGAAGAAAAGGAGAGAGAGGGAGAAAGAGCTGAAGCTACTCTTGCAGCCACACTGTAGAGGGTGGGTGTATGAGGCAAAGAGAGCTTGTTAACTCCATGCAGCAAGATCAAAGGGCCCTTCTGCGGCTTCTGGCCTGTCTCATCAGTATCACTTTGTCAGAATGGAACAAACTGGCAAGTGCAGGAGCTCAGCCCACACAGGGTCTGTGCTTTCTAGACTCTCCCCCAACCAGATCACAGACTGGACAAGTGACTGGAGTTCTCCCCAGGCGAAACCTCAACACAAACCACCTGTGCTGATGTCACTGACACCTCGAGGTGGCCTCTGGCCAAAGAAATGATATTTTGTCTCTGACTTCCTGGGAAATAGCTATGCCTACTGTAAGGAAGCGATGAACTTAAAGCCAATGCTTTGGAAAAAATGATCTGGGCTCAATTACAAAGAGGCAAGAGAGTGGGAGGGGCCCTTCCTGTATCACTCATCTTGCAGAAGGCACTTGTCAGCCAGCTCTGCTTCCCACACCCAGAGGTCGCAGGGCCCACGAGATGATTCCAGTGACACATCCCCGTGCACACCTCCTTTAGAGCCATCTGCTGCTTTCCCCCATGTTCCTTCCACCCCCACCTTCACAAACACACCAAAACACCGTGTGATGGTTGTAATCTAAGCCCAAAGTGCAGGACAGGCATGGCCACAATGCTCCTAGGAAACAAAGCACCTGCCCAGAAAAGCCATACAAATTCAGGGTGAATCAAAACAGCAGCTGGCAAAGAGGACAGAATCTAAAACTGAAGAAAATGCTCGTATCCCATGTAAATCACAGCCATGAAGAATTTTCCTAGCTGGGTTTTTCGAAGATGTTAAGACCAGTTCCTCAAGCCTGCAGACAGCGTTTTAGTAGCTTTAGCGAAGGGGCACAGAGGTCAAAACCTCAGCCTGTACCTCCTTTAATGAAACCAGGTTATTCAGATACCCCAGAGTTCAAAGTTGAAAGCAAGTTAGCCAAATCAATGATACTTCCGGATGAGGGTCACCTTCCGAATACTGGCCTAATCACTTTTCTGTGTAAGATTTATGTGCTTACTCGCAAAGTAGACAAATAGTCAAATCAGCAAAAGCCAGTATACAAAGGCCAGCCCCTTCCCCGAGAGCCTCCCGAAGAACTGTGGGAACACAAACCAGGGAATCTGTAAAACAAAAGCCCCTCTCCTCCAAGAAATGTACTAGCTACCTGTATTCTGATTTACTAGCTACCTTTATTCTGAGTCTCTGTCCTCTTACCTTATTGTACTTGTTGCTTTTAGAACTTTAAGATTCAGAAGAAGATTTGGGAGGTAGCAGTGAAGAACTCACCAATGACTTGTCAATGATGCAGAACATGTAGGCATCATGGAGAAGGATGTGCATCGGTCTCTTGGGATGAAAACTGATGTGTGTGATAGGAGTATCCCTTTGGAGCCAAAGGTGGTGAAAGCCCTGCTTCTGGACAGTCCGGCTCCAATCTGTATACTGTTTGTCTGGGATGCTGTACTCAAATACCTGAGGGAGGACATGACATAGAGAAATGCAGGCTGGTACTCAGAAAGACCAGAAGGGCATTCTCATCCCTAACCAGAAAGTATCTATACAAAGCTTCAACTGTATTATATTCATTCTATGCTCTCCCAACACTTTTTTTTTTTTTTGAGATGGAGTCTCACTCTGCCACACAGGCTGGAGTGTAGTGGCGTGATCTCCGCTCACTGCAAGCTCCGCCTCCCCGGTTCAAGCCGTTCTCCTGCCTCAGCCTCCCAAATAGCTGGGACTATAGGCGCCCACGAGTACGCCCGGCTAATTTTTTGTATTTTTAGTAGAGATGGGGTTTCACTGTGTTAGCCAGGATGGTCTTGATCTCCTGACCTCGTGATCTGCCCGCCTCAGCCTCCCAAAGTGCTGGGATTACAGGCGTGAGCCACCGCGCCCTGCCCATCTTTTCAGAGCTATTTTATGCACATAATACATAGCGTTCTGTATCTTGCTTTTGTTGCTCAGTGTTATATCACGGAGACTGACCCACATTAATACACATATATATCGGTCATGCCCATTCTGAAACACAGAATAGTCCACTCATTTTGTCCATGTATCATGATTTACTTATCCACTCTGCTTAATGGACATTAGCTTGTTTCATATCTTTGTCTACTACAAACAAAGCTGTCTCTGTATAAATGTCTTTTTGCACAGCTAGAAGCATATATATCTATATACAGATATATATATACATATATATATATATATATAAAGAATGATTAGAACTGAAATTTCTAAGTCAAAGACCATGTGGACTTTAAAATTTTTAAGGTATTGCCAACATGTCCTCCAAAAGGGTTAGGATAATTTACACAATGTGTGAGAGTACTGTTTCCCTATACCTTCAGAACACTGTATATTATCAAGTCTTTGATCTTTGCTAATCTAACAGATATAAAAAACTTCCCATCAGTTTTACTTTCAGAAGCACTTAAGGGACTAAGTGCCAGTAAAAGGTGTCATGGGGGAAATTATCATTATGTGTGACAAAGGCAAAGATGTGTGGCTTCACTACTCTTTCAGTCTTTGGTCAAGGACTCAAATCTATAAAACTGAGAGATTTCACTTTTTGGACAGTGTGTGTGTGCATGTGTGAGTGTAAAAACTGACCATCAGCCGGGCGCGGTGGCTCAAGCCTGTAATCCCAGCACTTTGGGAGGCCGAGGCGGGCGGATCACAAGGTCAGGAGATCGAGACCATCCTGGCTAACATGGTGAAACTCCATCTCTACTAAAAATACAAAAAATTAGCCGGGCATGGTGGCGGGCGCCTGTAGTCCAGCTACTCGGGAGGCTGAGGCAGGAGGATGACATGAACCCGGAAGACGGAGCTTGCAGTGATCGGAGATCGCACCACTGCACTCCAGCCTGGGCGACAGAGCGAGACTCTGTCTCAAAAAAAAAAAAAAAAAAACAAACTGACCATCAAAGCAGTAAGCATCATTTGCCTAGCACTCTACTTAAATGTGCTTCCTGGATTACATTTAATCTTCCCAACAGCTCAGTGAGGTAGATATTAACATCTCCAATTTTACAGATGAATTATTGATAACTTCCTAATATAATTATTGATAACTTCCTAATATATTCCGCAGCCCAGGTTTTTTGTTTTTTTAAAGATCTCCTTATAATCACAATCTCCTTACAAATTGGTATAGAAAAAAGTAGATTAGGTTCTAATTTTGGCTGAGATTAGGTACCTGATCTTATTAGGGCTTGATTTCCTCATCGGCAAGCGTAAAGGTGAATGATACAATCTTTTAGTCACTTTCAACTCTCAAAATCTTATTCCATCCCATATCCAGTTTAATACCCAAGCCCATGTCATCTCTCCTCTAAAACAATCAGGAAAATGAGTACTTCAAAATTCCTCCTCCCTCTTGTGATTCTTTACTCTAGAATCTTAGTGCTTCTCCATTTAAATTGCATCCCATCAAACCAATGCATACTGCTGGCCTATGATGAGCCCAGACCGGCAAGGAAGCTTTACTTCACACAGGAGAAAACTACCTTATATCCTCCAACACCTTCAAAAAAAAGCTCCCCGCAACTGCCCAATATTCCAGCTTCTAGGTTACTATCCAGCAGGAAGGGAATAGAAAGCACTGGAATCTCCCTTACCTGCTGGTCCGAATGAGCGATGACAAGGTTGTTGGTATTGGGGGCAATAGCCATAGCAGTCACTGGGAAATTGTAAGCAGGCACCGTGCAGTGAAGCTGGGAACAAATAACAGACACAAGTGGCAACTCTAAGTGACACTTTTCCTCAGCAAAGATTGAATGGTCTAGGTCAGGGGTTTAAATACTGCTCCTCATAATTCAAAAGGGTTCTAGGGAAGTTCCAAAAATTTCAGGCATTTCCCCAACCAATGAACTTTCATTTCTTTTTCTTCTCTTTTTTTTTTTTTTGAGATGGAGTTTCGCTCTTGTCACCCAGGCTGGAGTGCAGTGGCGTGATAATCAGCTCACTGCAACCTCTGCCTCCCAGGTTCAAGTGATTCTCCTGCCTCAGCCTCCCAAGTAGCTGGGATTACAGGCGCCTACCACCACACCCGGCTAATTTTTTGTTTTTCTTTTTTTTTTTTTTGAGATGGAGTTTCACTCTTTCTCCCAGGCTGGAGTGCAATGGCATGATCTTGACTCACTGCAACCTCCACCTTCCGGTTTCAAGTGATTCTCCTGCCTCAGCCTCCCGAGCAGCTGGGATTACAGGCACCCACCACCATGCCTGGCTAATTTTTGTATTTTTAGTAGAGACGGGGTTTCACCATGTTGGCCAGGCTGGTCTCAAACTCCTGACCTCAGGTGATCCACCCACCTTGGTCTCCCAAAGTGTTGGGATTATAGGCGTGAACCACTGCACCTGGCTTAATTTTTGTATTTTTAGTAGAAACGGGGTCTCACTATGTTGGCCGGGCTGGTTTTGAACTTCTGACCTCATGATCCACCCACCTCGGCCTCCCAAAGTGCTGGGATTACAGGCGTAAGCCACCGCACCAGTCCTCATTTTCTTAAAAAAATACCTATTGGTTGGCCGGGCGCAGTGGCTCATGCCTATAATCCCAGCACTTTGGGAGGCCAAGGCAGGCGGATCACGAGGTCAGGAGTTTGAGACCAGCCTGGCCAACATGGTGAAACCCCATCTCTACCAAAAATTAAAAAAATTAGCTGGGTGTGGTGGCGTGCGCCTGTAATCCCAGCTACTCAGGAGGGTGAGGCAGGAGAATCACTTGAACCTAGGAGGCGGAGGTTGCAGTGAGCAGAGACTGCGCCACCACACTCCAGCCTGGGCAACAGTGCAAGACTCAATCTCAAAAAAAAAACAAAAGGCCTATTGGCTGGGCGCAGTGGCTCACACCTGTAACTACAGCACTTCGGAAGGGCCAGGGCGGGAGGAACGCTTGAGTCCAGGAGTTCAAGACCAGCCTGGGCAACACAGCAAAACCTCATCTCTACTAAAAAAAAAGATTAGCTAGGTGTGGTGGGACTCGCCTGTAGTCCCAGCTACTCAGGACACTGAGGTGGAAGGATCGCTTGAGCAGAGAGGTCAAGGCTGCAGTGAGCTGTGACTGTGCCACTGCACTCAGTCTGGGTGACAGAGTGAAACCCTGTCTCAAAAAAATAAAAAGCTTATTTAACCGCGTACAAAACTAACAGCGTTTGTGGAGAACTGAGAGTAAAGCCTTTCCCTCTGAGTAAATCCATCTGTACAAACTGCTTATAAATGTGTCATTGAATAGGGAGTCTACAGCTCTACACCAGGTTTAAAATAAATAAATGCCTAGGCATGGATTTTTATGTACAATTGCAAAGCATGTGCACGCTACACACAAACACTCTTTAAATGCCAGGCAAGGCTCAAAGACAAGTGCTCAGTACATGCTCCTACCATAATGCAACAAAGGTTACACTATGCAGTTAACAGGTAAACCCATTAAGTGTTGCAGTTTGATGTTATTCTATACACTTTTAATGCTTATTCCAAGTTTTGGGTAGTTCGAATCTGATTCTTATAATGAAGATGAGGACTTGTAAGGGATCACTAATGACTCAATTTATGACTGACAGCGTCATTACTGATTAGTGAAAAATGTTTTCCCAGTATTCCTTTTTCGAAGTTTTGATTATGTTTACCTTGAGATTACAAGGCAAGCCATGAAAGGAACTCTTATTATCTGCAACTATTTGTCTGTGTATATCAGAATTTTCCTCCCGAAAATACAGAAAGAACCTGGATGTGTTTACATCACCCACAGATCATTAATTTCAAATTTCCAGGTATGAATGGGTTTCACTGTTTCCATTAGCTGCTTTTAATGTTACACAGTATAGCTTCCGGGTTCCATAAAAATAAAACAGGATTCCAAACCTGGAAAAATTATTAGTTAAAAAGAAAAAAGTCTGGCCAGGCGCGGTGGCTCATGCCTGTAATCCTAGCACTTTGGGAGGCCGAGGTGGGCGGATTGCCTGAGCTCAGGAGTTCAAGGTCAGCCTGAGCAACATGGTGAAACCCTGTCTCTATTAAAATACAAAAATTAGCCAGGTGTGGAGGCACACACCTGTAATCCCAGCTACTCAGGAGGCTGAGACAGGAGAATCATTTGAACCCGGGAGGCTGAGGTTGCAGTGAGCCGAGATCGCGCCACTGCACTCTAGCCTGGGTGACAGAGTAAGACTTTGTCTCAAAAAAAAAAAAAAAAGAAAAGAAAAGAAAATAAAAAGAAAAAAGTCTAATAAATTTCCAGGTCATGCCAATCTGCCTTGAATCTTGTAACTGCAGGGTGAACTGGCTCCTGTACAATGATTCAAACTGCTGCCATGAAACCCTATGCTCACCTTTAGCTGTTTTACGTTGTAGACATGGACTCCAGCACTGGTACCTGATGCAGCTAGCCAATTCCCATCTGGACTGACTGCCAAAAGACACATGGCCTCCACTGTTCCTGTGAGGACAAAACAGTTACATCTCTGAATTCACACAGTGTCCACAGCCAGACCTGCCCTGGAGATGATGGCAAAAGCCAAGGAGACCATTAGAGTTTTAAATCACTGCCAGGATAATTTGCTGATCACTGTGCAAATTACTTCTAGATGTTAATGTTTCTACTTTTTTCATCTACTTATTTAACCATCCCGCCTGTAAAGAAGGTCCAGAGAGATAAAACAGAAGTTATTACTTCCTCAGGCCTAAGACACTGCTTACTACAGGAATAGAGAATGACGGCAGCATCTGCCACTAAAATATATACTTTAATTGTTTCAAACTCCTTTCCTACCAAATGGTTTTTTTTCTGTTTTTTGTTTTTTTTTTTTTTGAGATGGAGTCTAGCTCTGTCACTCGGGCTGGAGTGCAGTGGCGGATCCGCTCACTCCAACCTCCAACTCCCAAATTCAAGTGATTCACCCGCCTCAGCCTCCTGACTAGCTGGGATTACAGGCACCCACCACCATGCCTGGCTAATTTTTGTATTTTTAGTAGAGATGGGGTTTCACCATGTTGGCTGGGCTGGTCTTGAACTCCTGACCTCAGATGATCCGCCCACCTTGGCCTCCCAAAGTGCTGGGATTACAGGCGTGAGCCACCGTGCCTGGCCTCTTTCTTTTTTCTTTTTTTAGACGGAGTCTCACTCTGTTGTCAGGCTGGAGTGCAGTGGTGCAATCTCGGCTCACTGCAACCTCTGCCTCTCGGGTTCAAGCCATTCTCCTGCCTCAGCCTCCCAAGTAGCTGGGACTACAGGCGTGCACCACCACACCCAGCTAATTTTTGTATATTTAGTAGAGATGGGGTTTCACCATTTTGGTCAGCATGGTCTCGATCTCTTGACCTTATGATCTGCCCACCTCGGCCTCCAAAAGTGCTGGGAGGTGTGAGCCACTGTGCCCGGCCCCTAAATTTTTTTTAAGCCAAAATTATGGACAGGCCAGGCGTGGTAGCTCACACCTGTAATCCCAGCACTTTGGGAGGCAGAGGTAGGTGGATTACCTGAGGTCAGGAGTTCAAGACCAGCCTGGCCAAGATGGTGAAACCCCATCTCTACTAAGAGTACAAAAAAAAAATAGCTGGGCGTGGTTGTGGGTGCCTGTAATCCCAGCTACTAGGGAGGCTGAGGCAGGAGAATCACTTGAACCTGGGAGGCAAAGGTTGCAGTGAGCCGAGATGGCACCAATGCACTCCAGCCTGGGCACAAGAAACTCTGTCTTTTGAAATTCTATCTCAAAAATAAATAAATTAATAATAAAAAAAAAAGTTACGGACAAACAGCAAGTTCAATAGACTTGAAGCATATCTTTAATTTATTGGATGCCTGCTGTGTATTTAGCACTAAGGGAGGATGGGCACGTCTGAGCCATCTTTGTCATCTAGAGACTTTAAACCAATCTGGCAACACGACAACTAGTGTGGGATAAAAATTGGACAGTGATGCTCTATACCAAAATGCGTGCTGCATGTAACGCCCCCAAACGATAACATGGCTTTATAACAAGCATAACCCAGCTGCCAAAGGATGGGTGGGGATGAGGAAAAAAGGATGGGGAACAGTGCAAGCTAAGTGACGAGGAGTAGAATATGCAGGTTTGAGAGCTGTGAAGAAACCATTTTGACTACAAGGGGAAGTGAGATGAGAGAAGTGGAAAAAATAAAGTCATATACATAATGTAGAGTCGAATCTCAAGGAGAGCTAGATATAAGATAAATAGCCTAAGTTTTGTAATAAAAACATATATAGATAATAAATAGTTTGATTTATCTGACCCCTAACTTGTGGGTTTCTTCTCCTGTAGGCTTCTGGATCAGCTTATGAACAGTGAGAGTTGAAGATAAAAGAGTTGACTTTCACTAGGCATGGTGACTCACACCTGTAATCCTAGCACTTTGGGAGGCTGAGGCAGGAGGATTGCTTCAGCCCAGGAGTTTAAGACCAGGATGGGCAACATGGTGAAACCCTGTCTCTACAAAAATACAAAACTTAGCTGGGTGTGGTGGTATGCTCCTGTGTACTTGGGAGGCTGAGGTGGAAGGATTTTCTGAGCCTGGGGAGGGTGAGGCTGCAGTGAGCCATGATCGCACCACTGCACTCCAGCCTCGGCAACAGAGTGAGGCCATCTCAAAAAAAAAAAAAAAAAAAAAAAAAAAAAAGAGTTGACTTTCCAGGCTGATGGGAGTGTAAATGACAGTGAAGCAGCAGCTAAAATCCAGGACAAGGGAGAGGTGAAAGGCCCATAGGAAGTATCAAAACAACTACCAGCTTAATCTGGAAACTGAGTCCAAGTCCTTAACAGTTAGCCATAGCTAGCTACATAGCCACACTCATTCATTAATACTCACATTCTCAATGAAAACAGAAAAATTCTCAGGAACATTATATGAACACAGGTAATTAAACTGTATGTATAAGAATACTTTTGGGCCAGGCACAGTGGCTCATGCCTATAATCTCAGCTGGGAGGGCAGGATGGGAGGATCACTTGACCCCAGGAGTTCAAGACCAACTTTGTCAACATAATGAGACCCCGTCTCTACAAAAAAAATGAAAAAATTAGCTGGGCATAGTGGTGAGTGTCTATAGTCCCAGCTACTCAGGATGCTGAGATGGGAAGATAACTTGAGCCCAAGAGGTCGAGGTGGCAGCCATCTATGATTGTACCTTTTTATGAACAAACAACCAAAAAAGGCAACATGCCCACAAAATACTTATATACAAATACATATTAGAAAATACCAAAATATTAATGGTAGCTATTTCTGGGTGTCAGGATTGCAAATGACTTTAACTTTCTTCTTGTTCTGCTAACAAACTAAGGATGATGAAATTTCTCTGGCCCCAAATAAGGAATCAAAAACCCAGTGAGAAAAGAGTAGGTGTGAAGAACATTGCAGATCTCATCGAGAGTCTTCATCTGCCAGCTATCTCCTCCTACTTGAAACAGCAAACATGTGAGTGAGTGTATCTGCAGGGTAGGAGGAACATGAGGGAACCCCCGACATGGAGGCTTAAAAGCAAAAAAGTTACATCTTAGACACGACAAGTCTCCCCATGGCCAGTTACCAGATTCCCACCTGACTGAGGCTGGAAAGCATGCAGGTGCTTGAAGCTTCCTCCTGACAGCTGAACAATATGCAGAGCTCCTTGATTTGATGCTACAAAGAGCTTTGTTGAATCTTCAGAAAACAAAATCTGAAGGGCAGAGCGAAGGAATGCTGGCATTTTGGAAACCTTTGGGTGAACCAATAATAAAAGCCAGTGAGAGAAGGGAGACCTACAGCCCATCAGAAACAATCACAGCTAGGCTTAAGGTACATTAATGCTTCCTGTCTCTAAGTAAGCCAACTGACTCGGCACAGAACACTGGTTTCTCTCCAGTAATCTATACATCCCCCTTTCATCTCTTTACTAAATATTCACTTCTCTATCAAGGAAATAACTAAGTCGCACGTGAAACCACTAAACAGAAAAGCTTTAATTTTATTGCCTGTAGGGCATTACCCTATCCCTCTAAGAACATACCTCAAAATTTCAAAATGGAAATAAAGGCTGGGTGTGGGCCGGGCGCAGTGTCTCATGCCTGTGATCCCAGCACTTTGGGAGGCTGAGGGGGTGGATCACCTGAGGTCAGGAGTTCAGGACAGCCTGGCCAACGTGGTGAAACCCCATCTCTACTAAAAATACAAAAAGTAGCCAGGCCTGGTGGTGGGCACCTGTAATCCCAGCTACTCGGGAGGCTGAGGCAGGAGAATGGCTTGAACCCGAGAGGCAGAGATTGCGGTGAGCTGAGGTGGTGCCATTGCACTCCAGCCTGGGTGACAAGAGTGAAACTCGGTCAAAAAAAAAAAAAAGGCTGGGTGCGGTGGCTCACGCCTGTAATGCCAGCACCCAGCACTTTGGGAGGCTGAGGCGGGTGAATCACTTGAGGTCAGGAGTTCAGGACCAGCATGGCCAACGGGTGGTGAAACTCCATCTCTACTAAAAATACAAAAATCAGCCAGGTGTGGTGGTGGGTGCTTGTAATCCCAGGTACTCGGGAGACTGAAGCACAGGAATCGCTTGAACCCAAGAGGCGGAGGTTGCAGTGGGCCAAGACTGTGCCATTGCACTACAGCCTGGGTGACAAGAGCAAAACTCCGTCTCAAAAAAAAAAAAAAAAAGAAAGAAAGAAATAAAACACTGTTTCATAACAGCCTTCTCCAAATCTCCAAATAGTTTTTAACTGAGCAAGGATTCACATCCAGTTGATTTCCACTTCACACAAAAATGACATATTTAGGAAGTTTCCTCTTATGTGACCAGATATTGGACTATCACTTACCCTTTTGAGGCTTATGTTGTCATGTTCATAATTCAGCCGATAGAGAAAAAACCGAGAAACTGTAGAATAGGCTATCCAACTTCCACATGGGGAGATACAGCTACAGATAATGTTCTCAGGACCCTGGCAATATCAGGAATCAAGATGAATGTGCAATTAAACTTCACATAACAAGGTGCACTGGGACATGACGCCTCAAGCTCTTGCCACTCTGGACATACCCACAGATATCTACACATAATCTCGATCCTCGTGTGGTCTGCATTAATATGATTATTTCAGAGGCAGAGCACCTAAAAGGCATGGCTTTGATTTCCAAATCCAAGAATGGAGGTCTATTCTTATTTTGGCCCTTTGAATACTTCATAGATAGCCTCATACTAGACCCCAACTTCAGAAACCTGAGCAGGGAGGCATTTACTGAAGGAAAGCTCTGGAGGATAGGTGGTTTGAAGTACTTATTTTCTGTTTTGTGTACGGCGTTCTGCTTTAAAGACTTCTAAGAAATAGCAAATGAAGAACATTTGAAGGCCAGGTACAGTGGGTCATGCCTGTAATCCCAGCACTTTGGGAGGCTGAGGTGGAGGATTGCTTGAGCCCAGGAGTTCAAGACCTGTCTGGACAACATGGTGAAACCCTGACTCTACAAAAAATTAGCCGGGCATGGTGGTGCACACCTGTAGTCCCAGCTACCTGGGAGGGTGAAGTGGTAGGATCACCTGAGCCTGGGAGGTTGAGGCTGCAGTGAGCCGTGACCGTGCCACTGCTCTCCAGCCTGGATAACACAATGAGACCCTGCCTCAAAAAAGTAAGCAAACAAACAAAAAAACCAACCAACTAACCAAACAAAAAAGAATCTGGAGAATAAAGAAAAGTTGAATGTAACATGTATGTAGTTTTTAAAAACTCACAAAATGATTTTTTTTTCATTGTATACCCTTTTGTACTATTTGAGTTTTTAAAAATATGCACATGGCTGGGCGCGGTGGCTCACGCCTATAATCCCAGCACTTTGGGAGGCCAAGGCGGGCGGATCACCTGAGGTCGGGAGTTCAAGACCAGCCTGACCAACCCCATCTCTACTAAAAATACAAAAAATTAGCCGGGCGTGGTGGCGCATGCATGTAATCCCAGCTACTTGGGGGGCTAAAGCAGGAGAATCGCTTGAACCCAGGAGGCGGAGGTTTCGGTGAGCTGAGGTGGTGCCATTGCACTCCAGCTTGGGCAACAAGAGTGAAACTCCGTCTCAAAAATAAATAAATAAATAAATAAATAAATAAATAAATAAAAGCACATTATTTTCATAATAATATCAAAAGAAGAGAAACCTATTTCCTGTATACATCCATCTAATAAATCCTCAACGTCCTACTTATAATCACAGGAAACCCAGTCCTGGTGACACAGTCCTTCATTCAAATAGTTTTAGAATTTATACAATTTATGATGCAAACTAAGTAACCTCAAAATTCAGAATGGGAATTATGAGCCTAGAATTCAGGCTCTAGAATTCAGAGCCTAAACAAACTTCCTTACCTTTGTCTTTAGGTGCAGTAAATGATCTGCATTTTTAGAGAGTGGAAGAGTATCCCCATTCTTGCCTGAAACAAGAAACTTCCCTGAGATTTTTCTTATGAAAGAAAGAGTATTTGTACATTTTTCTTCTAAAAAGTTACTCCTTGGAAAAATGGAATCTCTATCAGTGGGAAATCAGAAAAATACAAGCTCACTGAGTAAGCTCACAATTTTTGAGGGGTATATGAAGAGAAAGCAGTGAGTACTTCTTTTGCTTCTATCCTCTGATACATCACTAATTCCCTGAAGCTCTAGTCCATAGCCAGGGACACAGGTGGAGTTTGTGTGGCCTCGATTTTAATCCACTGCAAATGAGAGGACTCAAACATTTCCTTAATAAGTCAAAAAGGCCACTAGGCTGTCACTCCAATAAGATCCATGTGATCTTCTTTTTCTACAGGATTATCATTACCCATCATTAAATCTTGTTGTTTTTCAACAGCCTGTTTTCACCTCAGTTAAGCTAGCGCAAACTACGATTCTTCAACCCTTACCTTGACTACACCCTGCAGCGCACCACCTAGAGCCATAAACTTTTAAGAGATGATCCAATATCCTGCTAAAGATTCTAATACTCTAAACAGCTTATTTGCTTTATCTAATGGGTGGGAAAACCATTAGTTAAAATGGACACAAAAGTCTACTTCAGTTTTTCTATAAGCAGAATTCCAACCGCAATTCTGATTTCTGGCTTCTCTCTCCAGTTTTCTTATTGAAAAAAACGTGCTCCCATCTTACCTGTTGCAACTGTGGATCCCAGTCGCCAAAGTTCTAAGTGATGAGCAAACTGGAAGAGGAGAAGCTGCCTCTTTTTAGAACAGGAGATGAGACATCGCTATATCCAAGAATCAAGAAGTTAAAAAAATAAGTCAGGGTCATCTACTGCCTTAGTACCAGATACAGTAGCACCACCTTAGCACATTTTTTACTGCTGAAATCCATTTCCTTGATAAATATTTCCTAAGTACTCCCATATGCCAGGCACTGCCCTGAGATCTATGAAGACGATGATGAATTAAAACATAGCTACTGCTCTCAACATGCTTCTAAAGGGGTGACACAGAATTAAATCAGCAATTAGACTTCAGTGTGCCAAGAATTTTAACACGGCTAAACACAGTATGTACTGAAAAATAAGGAGACAGGACATCTAACCTAGCTGTGTGGTGGTAAATACAGAAGCCCAGATGAGGTTCACTGGGAAAGACCAGTCAGGCGAAGGAGGCAGGGCAGAACATTCTGAGGAGGGTGATGGCATGTGACATAGCTCAAAGGTAAGAGTATTTGAGGGAACAAAAAGACCTTGAGAATGGCTAGCCTGGGTGGGGGTGCTACAAGCACGAGAGGTGCAAAAAGAAGCTGAAGGGCCAGGCCTGGATGGAGACAGGTTCTATAAGACACACTAAGGAAACTGTCTTTATGCTGAAGCCAACAGGGATAACCAGAGGCTTTGAAGCATGGAGTGATGAACAAAGGTGCTTTAAAACAGATCAATGGGCCTGGAGCAGTGGCTCATGCCTGTAATGCCAGCAATCGAGAGGCTGAGGTGCGAGGATTGCTTGAGACCAGGAGTTTGAGACTGGCCTGGGCAAGATAGTGAGATCTTGCCTCTATTAAAAAAAATAAAAAATAAAAAAATTAGCCGAGGCCGGGCACAGTGGCTCATGCCTGTAATCCCAGCACTTTGGGAGGCCAAGGCAGGTGGATCACCTGAGGTCAGGAGTTCAAGACCAGCCTGGCCAACATGGTGAAACCCTGTCTCTACTAAAAATACAAAAAAAATTACCTAGGCGTGGTGGCGGGTGCCTGTAATCCCAGCTACTAGGGAGGCTGAGGCAGGAGAATCGCTTGAACCCAGGAGACTGAGGTTGCAGTGAGCCGAGATTTCACTACTACACTCCAGCCTGGGCAACAAGAGCAAAGCTCTGTCTCAAAAAAAAAAAAAAAAAAAAAAGAAAAACAGAAATTAGCTGAGCCTGGTGGCGCATGCCTGCAGCTCCAGCAACTCGGGAGGCTGATGTGGGAGGACTGCTTGAGCTCAAGAAGCAGAGGTTACAGTGAGCCAAGATTACACCACTGCAGTGCAGCCTGGGTGACGGAGCAAGACCTTGTCTCAAAAAAACAAAAACAAATAAAATAAAATAAGATCAATGAAGAATAGGCTAGAATGACACAAATGCAAATAAAAGGACATGATTAAGAAGCTACTGTAAAGGAACCCAGATGAGAAAAGACACTGATCCAAACTAGGATGATGCCAGCGTAGACAAAGAGAAATGAATGACTCGATTCAAGAGATTATGAGGACTATGTTCAACCTCATCAAACCATATGCATTAAATATGTATGATTTTTAATATATCAAGTATGCCTCAATAGAGCTGTTGATCTATCTATCTATCTATCTATATCTATAACATATGTATAAAGATACTGATGAGTAGACTCAATGAGGTTTACTGCTTGAATGAATGGGGCAGCAGGTGTGGGGAGCAAGTTTTCTAGCTTGGGAAGATGGTACCATTTACCTAGAACACTGGAAGCCTGGGTTTTCCCGCTCCCACCCAGAATAGAGCCTACCCTGAAAGACAAACTAACAAAATTCCCATAACCCACAACTATTTGGAAAAGGGAAAAATTTCCCCAGAAACTGAACTAGGTGTGCTGCTGCATATCTCCTGCCCCCATAAATGTCTTTGCAGTGGCTTGCCTCAAAAACAGAAGGAATGAAGAAGGTAGCTACAGAAAGTCCTACAATATCTCCATGTCCCAGATGGTTAAAAAAAAAAAAAAGGCAGGGGCTGGGCACAGTGGCTCACGCCTGTAAGCCCAGCACTTTGGGAGGCCGAGGCGGGCGTATCACGAAGTCAGGAGATCAAGACCATCCTGGTTAACACAGTGAAACCCCACCTCTACTAAAAATAAAAAAATTAGCCGGGCGTGGTGGTGGGCACCTGTAGTCCCAGCCACTCGGAAGGCTGAGGCAGGAGAATGGCATGAACCTGGGAGGCGGAGCTTGCAGTGAGTGGAGTCGCACCACTGCACTCCAGCCTGGGCGACAGAGAGAGACTCAGTCTCAAAAAAAAAAAAAAAGAAAAAAAAAGGACCACAAAGCTGAGCGTGGTGGCTCACACTTGTAATACCAGCACTTTGGGAGGCTGAGGCGGGCAGATCACCTGAGGTTGGGAGTTCCGAGATCAGCCTGACCAACATGGAAAAACCCAGTCTCTACTAAAGATATAAAATTAGCTGAGCGCGGTGGCGCATGCCTGTAATCCCAGCTACTCGGGAGGCTGAGGCAGGAGAATCGCTTGAACCCGGGAGGTGGAGGTTGTGGTGAGCCGAGATCGCGCCATTGCACTCCAGCCTGGGCAACAAGAGCAAACTCTGTCTCAAAAAAAAAAAAAAAGTCCTACAAATTTGCCGAGCGTGAGCTGTGTTCAGAGCTTGTGGGACAGGGGGACACAGGGATGGGGAGATGAGGGGTTAGCAGGGGCTTGGAATGGACACTTACGTGGGGAAAGGTGATTTTTCGGAGAGCGGCATCGTAATTCTTTACTTCCACCTTCTCCATGAGAGGACGAAAGACTAAGTGGGTGTCAGTGCCTGGGAAAGCAGGGGAGAAGGTGTACAGAATTAGAAGTCATCCTCACGAGAACAGCCAGAACTGGGCAGGGTAAAGCAGCAGCCTCACCAGAGGGGGAACCCACCTCCAGATATCAGCGCTGTTGGGCTGTGGGCCACAGTGCGCACGTCATGAGTGTGATGCTGGAACGGTTTTGTCCGCACCCACTGCTTCTCACTGCTGTTAGATGTCACAGGGACCAGCTGAAAATGGAAGACTGTTCCCTCGGCTGTGCCCACCACGAAACTGTCTTCTTGCTGAGGAATTAAATCATGAGGGAGGTACACGTAAGCAAAACAAGGTCTGGTTGGAAAAATATTCCGAGGCTTTCTGTCTCAGCAGCTTAGGGGTAAACCTATGCCCAGAATCAGTAGGAAAGTTACAAGGGTCTTTTCCTTCCAGAAGCTAAGGATTCCATCAAAGGAGCAAGCTCAGACACTGGTAACAATGCGCCCCCTACTGACAAAATTAACGTCTACAGTACAGCAACGCTTCATATACCCAACATAGATCTCCTTAGAATAGCATTGAGAGAGAGAAAATACCTAGGACCTACTTGAGAAATTTAAATCCTTCGAAAGAACATAAGAGAAAACCTAACAAAGAAATTCATATCATGTTATTTAATACGAATATTTAACATGATCAAGTTATTATCACTAAAGAAATGTATTAAACCAATAAAAATACTGAAAATCCTTTATTTGGAACTAGAACAGGTGTTTCTTAATAACGTTTATTTCATTAAAAATATCCAAGAAACATCAGCCAGGCATGGTGGCTCACTCCTATAATCCCAGCACTTTGAGAAGCTGAGCTGGGTGGATCACTTGAGGCCAGGAGTTTGAGACCAGCCTGGCCAACATGGTGAACCCCGTCGCTACTAAAAATACAAAAATTAGCTGGGCGTGGTGGCGCATGCCTGTAATCCCAACTATTTGGACGGCTGAGGCACGAGAATCACTTGAACCTGGGAGGCAGAGGTTGCAGTACGCCAAGATCGCACCACTGCACTCCAGCCTGGGCAACAGGGCGAGACTCTGGCTTAAAAAAAGAAAAAAAAATGCAAGAAACACCAATAAAAAAGTTTCTTAAATAAACAAGGTGGGCAGAGCAGCACAAACCTGTAGTCCCAGCTACTCAGGAGACTGGGTAGGAGGATCACTTGAGCCCAGAAGTTGGAGACCAGTCTGCACAACATAGTGAGACCTCATCTTTTTTTGTTTGTTTGTTTGTATTTTTTGAGACGGAGTTTCGCTCTGTCACCCAGGCTGGAGGGCAGTGGCATGATCTCGGCTCACTGCAACCTCTGCCGTCCCGGGTTCAAGAGATTCTCCCACCTCAGGCTCCCAAGTAGCTGGGATTACAGGCACACACCACCACACCCGGCTAATTTTTGTTTTTGTTTTTTTTGAGACAGAGTTTCACTCTTGTCGCCCAGGCTGGAGTGCAATGGCGCGATCTCAGCTCACCACAACCCCTGCCTCCTTGGTTCAAGCCATTCTTCTGCCTCAGCCTCCTGAGTAGCTGGGATTACAGGCGTGCGCCACCATGCCTGGTTAATTTTTGTATTATTAGTAGAGATGGGGTTTCACCATGTTGTCCAGGCTGGTCTCAAACTCCTGACCTAGGGGATATACCCTCCTCGGCCTCCCAAAGTGCTGGGATTACAGGTGTGAGTCACCGTGCCCAGGCTTGTATTTATTTTTCAGTATAGACAGGGTTTTACCACGTTTGCCAGGCTGGTCTCAAACTCCTGACCTCAGGTGATCCGCCCGCCTCAGCCTCCCAAAGTCTCATCTTTAAAAAGAATGAAAGAAATAAACAAGAAAAAACAAAACAAAACAAAAAAACACAACTCACAACACAAAAAACCCAAACAAGAGTAGTAATGTGGCTAGATGTGATGGCTCACATCTGTAATCCCGCACTTTGGAAGGCAGGAGAATCACTTCAACCCAGGAATTTGAGACCAACCTGGGCAACATAGTGAGACTGCATCTCTACAAAAAATGTTAAAAACTTAGCCTGGTGGTGCATGCCTGTAGTCCCAGCCACTTGGGAGGCTGAGGTAGGATTGCTCGAGCCTGGGAGGCAGAGGCTGCAGTGAGCCAGGATTACACCACTGCACTCCACCTGGGTGACAGAGCAAGACCGTGTCTCAAAAAAAAAAAAAAAAAGTAATGAAGATATACATCCAAAAGAATTGAAGGCAGGAACTCAAACAGCTATACTAATACAGATTGAAGATTCCTAATCCAGGGCCAGGCGTGGTGGCTCAGGCCTGTAATCACAGCACCTTGGGAGGCTGAGGCGGGCGGATCACTTGAGGTCGGGGTTAGAGACCAGCCTGGCCAACATGATAAAACCCCGTCTCTATTAAAAATACAAAAATTAGGCCGGGCGCAGTGGCTCACATCTGTAATTCCAACACTTTGGGAAGCCGAGGCGGGCGGATCACTTGAAGTCAGGGGTTAGACACCAGCCTGGCCAACATAATGAAACCCCGTCTCTATTAAAAATACAAAAATTAGGCTGGGCACGGTGGCTCACGCCTGTAATTCCAGCACTTTGGGAGGCCGAGGCGGGCAGATCACAAGGTCAGGAGATCAAGACCATCCTGGCTAACACGGTGAAAACCCATCTCTACTGAAAAAAAAAATACAAAAAATTAGCCGGGTGTGGTGGCGGGCGCCTGTAGTCCCAGCTACTTGGGAAGCTGAGGCAGGAGAATGGGGCGTGAACCAGGGAGGCGGAGCTTGCAGTGAGCGGAGATCACGCCACTGCACTCCAGCCTAGGCGACAGAGCAAGATTCCGTCTCGAAAAACAAAACAAACAAACAAAACAACAAAACAAAAATTAGACAGGCGTGGTGGCATGAGCCTGTAGTCCCAGCTAAAAAGAAAAAAAAAGGATTCCTAATCCAAAATCCGAAACTTTTTGAGTGCTAACATGACACCACAAGTAGAAAACTTCACATCTGACCTCATCTGCTGGATCACAGTCAAAACTGTGTTTCATGCACAAAATGAATAAAATATTGTACAAAACTACCGTCAGGCTATGTGTATCAGGGACGTATGAAACATAAATGCATTTCTTGTATAGGCTGGGGTCCCATCCCCAAGATATCTCATTATGTATATGCAAATATTCCAAAATCCAAAAAAAAATCCAAAATCTGAAACACTTCTGGTTCCAAGCACAACCAGATCAGAGACACTCAACCTGTACTTGTACCTCAATGTTCAGAGTAGCATTATTATTTTTTGTTTGTTTGTTTGTTTGGAGACAGAGTCTTGCTCTGTCACCCAGGCTGGAGTGCAGCGGGGTGATCTCAGATCACTGCAACCTCCGCCTCCCTGGTTCAAGCGATTCTCCTGCCTCAGCCTCCCGAGTAGCTGGGACTACAGGCGCATACCGCCACGCCCAGCTAATTTTTTTGTATTTTAGTAGAGACAGAGTTTCACCATGTTGCCCAGGCTGGTCTGGAACTCCTGAGCTCAGCCAATCCACCCGCATCGGCCTCCCAAAGTGGTAGGTTTACAGGCGTGAGTCACCACGCCCGGCTTATTATTATTATTATTATTATTATTATTATTATTATTATTATTTTGAGCTGGAGTTGCACTCTGTTGACCAGGCTGGAGTGCAATGGCACGATCTCAGCTCACTGCAACGTCTATCTCCCGGGTTCAAGCAATTCTCCCGCCTCAGCCTCCCAAGTAGCTGGGATTACAGGCACGCAGCACCATGCAGGCTAATTTTTGTATTTTTTTTTTTTTTTTTTTGAGGCAGAGTCTCGCTCTGTCGCCCAGGCTGGAGTGCAGTGGCGCGATCGCACTCAATGCAAGCTCCGCCTCTCTGGTTCACGCCATTCTCCTGCCTCAGCCTCACGAGTAGCTGGGACTACAGGCGCCCGCCACCACACCCGGCTAATTTTTTGTATTTTTTTTTTTTAGTAGAGATGGGGTTTCACCATGTTAGCCGGGATGGTCTTGATCTCCTGACCTCGTGATCCACCCGCCTCGGCCTCCCAAAGTGCTAGGATTACAGGCGTGAGCCACCGCGCCCGGCTTAATTTTTGTATTTTTAGTAGAGACAGGGTTTCATCATACTGGCCAGGCTGGTCTCGAACTCCTGACCTCAACTGATCCACCCGCCTTGGTCTCCCAAAGTGCTGGGATTACAGGCGTGAGCCACCGCACCTGGCCTAGAGCAGCATTATTTACAACAGCCGAAAGATGGAAACAACCCAAACGTCCACTAATAGATGAATGGATAAACAGAACACACACACAAATATTATGCAGTCTTAGTAAGGAATGAAATACTGATAATGCTGCAAGATGGATGAACCTTGAGAACAATATGCTAAGTAAAATAAGCCAGATACAAAATAACAAATGTTATAAGCAAATTCATAGGAACAGAAAGTAGAATAGAGGTGACCAGAGGCTGAGAGAAGGGAGGAATGAGGAGGTAGTGTTTAATGAGTACAGGTTTCTGTTTGTGGTGATGAAAAAATTCTGAAAATGGATAGTGGTGATAGCTGTACAACAACGTGAATGAACTTTATTCCACTGAAATGTACACTTTTAAAATAGTTTAAAAGTAAATAATGTGGGGAGAATTACAAAACTAATGGTAAAAAGACTAAAGTTTGGAATATCTTTTTTTTTCTTTTTTTTTTTTTGAGACAGAGTCTCTGTTGCCCAGGCTGGAGCACAACGGCACAATCTCGGCTCACTGCAACCTCTGCCTCCCGGGTTGAACTGCTTGAAATATTTTACCAGTTCCCTCATTAAGGAATTACAGAAAATCGGACTTATTTCCATTTCATACTTGTATGAATCATGATTATAACTTTTTTCTGCCTAATCATCATTTAGTAACCTTTTTCACAGATAAGGAAACCAGAGCTCCAAAGGGTTTAAAGCCATGACAAACACGGCCATCTGGCTCCAAAGCCTGTGCTCTGGGAACACCACACTGCCTTAACCTTATGCCAACTCTCTTGCAGGGTCATGACTGTGTACCAGAAAGGAAAGCATTTTCCAAGGACAGCACATAAGGTGGCCCTGAGGAGCCTCTCCCTCTTCTCTAAAGACACTACTTAAAAACCATTAGCCTAAGACAAAAGTGGACATACCCAGCAGCTTAGGAACTCAAACACTCCCCCACCTCCAACGACACAGTTTACTTAATTTACAAAAAAAAAAAGAAAAAGAAAAAGAAAAAGCCAGGGGCGGTGGCTCATGCCTGTATTTTCAGCACTTTGGGAGGCCGAGGCTGGTGGATCACCTGAGGTCAGGAGTTCAAAACCAGCCATGGTAAAACCCAGTCTCTACTACAATTACAAAAATTAGCCTGGCATGGTGGCATGCACCTGTAATCCTAGCTACTTGGGAGGCTGAGTCAGGAGAATCGCTTGAACCCAGGAGACAGAGGTTGTAGTGAGCCGAGACTGCACCACTGCACTCCAGCCTGGGAGACAGAGTGAGAGACTGTCTCAAAAAAATTTTTTAAAAAGGGTAGTTTTCTCAAAGTCCCATCCAGAGAGAGATTTGGAAGACAAGGACTTCTCCTTTACTCTGTATTCTCTTTCTCTTAGGTGAAATCATTATTATTATTATTATTATTGTTATTTGAGATGGAGTCCTGCTTTTGTCGCCCAGGCTGGAGGGCAATGGCATGATCTCGGCTCACTGCAACCTCCGACTCCCGGGTTCAAGTGATTCTCCTGCCTCAGTCTCCCAAGTAGATGGGATTATAGGCGCCCACCACCACGCCCAGCTAATTTTTGCATTTTTAGTAGAGACAGGGTTTCACCATGTTGACCAGGCTCGTCTTGAACTCCTGACCTCAGGTGATCCGTCCGCCTTGGCCTCCCAAAGTGCTGGGACTACAGGCGTGAGTCACCATGCCCGGCCAATAATTAACTCTTAAGTATAATAATTACAACTGCTGTGGATTAAAACTCTATTTTTAAAGGGGAATTTATCCCACTCATTTCAACTTATACCACTATTATCACTTACGTGTGACATCTATGTTTTTCAGGGCCTTAACATACATCAAACTGTTCTAAAAAAACCTGTGATATGGAATAGGAACACTACACTAGAATATGGATGTCGGCATGTGGGATAGCACATCATTCTCAAACTAAGGAGATAAAGAATAAAGGAGCTGGTCAACAAATAAAGTCACTTTCCATGTCTCACTGCTAAAATACTCAAAGGTTTCTGAATGAGAATTCACGTTACCATTCCTCTACAATATTTACGTCATAGAAAATAATAGGCTGGGTGTGGTGGCTCACGCCTGCAATCTCAGCACTTTGGGAGGCCGAGGCAGGCAGATCACTTGAGGTCAGGAGTCAGACCACCCTGGCCATCATGGTGAAAGCCTAAACATATAAAAATTAGCTGGGCACAGAGGCGGGCGCCTGTAATCTCACCTACTTCGGAGGCTGAGGCAGGAGAAATTGCTCCCTGGAGGCAGAGGTTGCAGTGAGCCAAGATTGTGCCACTGCACTCCAGCCTGGGTGACAGAGCTAGACTCCGTCTCAAAAAAATAAAAAAAAAAAGAGAGAGAAAATAGGCCAGGCACAGTGGCTCACACCTGTAATCCCAGCACTTTGGGAGGCCGAGGTGGGTGGATCACCTGAGGTCAGGAGTTCGAGACTAGCCTGCCCAACATGGTGAAACCCCATCTCTACTAAAAATATAAAAATTAGCTGGGTGTGGTGACAGGGGCCTGTAATCCGAGCTACTGGGGAGGCTGAGGCAGAAGAATCGCTTGAACCTGGGAGGCAGAGGTTGCAATGAGCCTAGATCGCGCCATTGCACTCCAGCCTGGGCGACAAGAATGAAACTCCATCTCAAAAAAAGAAAAAAAAAGAACTACTACTAAATAAGACATTTTGGCCAGGTGCCGTGGTTCCTGCCTATAATCCCAGCACTTTGGGAGGCTGAGATGGGAGGATCCCCCAGCCCAGGAATTTAAGACCACCTTGGGTAATATAGGGAGACCCCATCTCTATTTTTTTAATTAAATTAAAAATAAATGCATAAATACAAAGGTATAAACATAGCGCTTCTCCAGATTCTTCTAGGCTGCTGTGCCCTATCTACAATCAAACAAGACGAACTGGAAGTGAGCAGTGTCTAAAGAAAATCTCCCTGCTAACTAATCTCTTGGAGTATCCTGTATTCTCTAACCAATTGTTAGGTACTATGGAAACAATGTGGGTTTTCAGATGCATTTTCCTAAACTCATCTTCCTCCAGTACAACATCAGGATCAGGAACCAGTGTTCATGGCACGTCACTAAGGCTGCTTTCTCAACTCACCCCACAAGGGTGTACATCAACCACTCTAAACAGGGACTGTACTCACGTCAGCTACAGCAATGGACTGCACGTCAGCATTAGCGATGAGATGGCTCTTCACAAGCGTCCCAGTGGCTGAGTCCCAGAACTGCACCTTCCCAGCAGAGTCCACACTTATGATAGTGCCATCGGACAAGAAGGCGACACCCCACACGATGCACTTCCGCTTAGACACGCCCATATACTGCCTGTCCACAATCATCTTATGAACAGCGCTGCCTGAAAAATCAGAAAAGCACACCTTCAAATGGTACTTATTTCTCTGTCTTCAAAATCTGCCTGCGGCCAAAGTGGAAGGACTGCTTGAGCCCTGGAGTTTAAGGCCAGCCTAGGCAACGAAGTGAGACCTCATCTCTACGAAACAACATAACAAACCCGCCTGCGGTAAGCATGATATGGTAGGTGAGCTGACTGAACAGTCAGCCTATAAATGGTAGTTCTGGTGAACCTGATCTCGGAACTCCAAAATGGTTACCTGAAGAGAAGGGGTGTTGGGAGAGCCTAACAGGAAAGGGATAGAAGGTGCAAGGGAGGGAGGAAGGGAGGGAAGAGAATGAGAACAGAAACCCCTTTGGTGGGGTGAAATGGAAAGAGACATTTGGGACATTCACTTAAAGCTGGTCAACTGCACACACACATTACACTCTGCTCTTTTCCAAAATCCCACAGGAAAGGGAGAGATCAGTGACAAAATTTGGGGAACTGGAAAGCAGACAAGTAGTGGCACTGACTTAGCAGAGCCCTGAAACTAAGTCCCAGGTCGGCAGAGAGGAAAGCCAAGAAGCCACCTGATTTATACTATGGAATCCTTGGACTCAGGAATTGGGGACCCCAGATATTCTAGAAAAGGAGTAAGTGGGGCTTCAAAGAGGGATCCGTTAACAGCTGGTAGACCCCTCAGATAGCCATGCCCTGACTAAGAAGGTGGGAAGCTCCCAAAATGCACGTCAGCAGAATACTGGAGACGTTGTCTGAGGAGGGCTATCAGGCAGAAGCAGTATATGAAAACCAGGATTAAGTGAACATTTCTCACTGAATGTTGAGAACACCATTCTTTTTTTTCCCCTTAGAATGCTGATAGCCAGGCCAATACTCACCAGGCAGGAGAATGAAAAACCATTTCTGAGGAACATAACTGACACAAAAGAAAAGATCTGAAGATTCTGGCTTCAGGGCTACCCCAAATAAGCAGTCCAGCCAGATCATTCTTCAGTGAAACCCAAGCTCAGTAAGCCACATGATGCAGTGATGAGATGATCACCAGACATGAGGAAAGCCTTTAACATGAAAGGCAGAGGCCAAACGGACTAACAGAAACAAATAAATGAATAACAGGGAAGAAACAGGCAGAGTGAAAAACACTTGACAATTATTAATAGCCTTAGAGAAGAGTTTCGGGGTGAGGGGAGGGGGGAGGGATAGCATTAGGAGATATACCTAACGCTAAATGACGAGTTAATGGGTGCAGCACACCAGCATGGCACATGTATACATATGTAACTAACCTGCACATTGTGCACATGTACCCTAAAACTTAAAGTATAATAATAATAAAATAAAATAAAATAAAAAAAGAAAGAGAAGAGTTTCTGTATAATGAAACATAAAGAGAATGCTGTAAAAAAGAAGATTCACGAAAAAAAAGAACTCTGGAAATGTCAAAAATGAAAAACTCAATAGAGGATTCAAAGATAAAAAAGACAAACTCTCCCAGAAAGCATAGTAAAAAGACAAAGAAATGAAAAATAAGAGTAAAAGAATTTCCCCCCAGAACTGAAGGACGTGGGTATTGGATTAGAAGAACCTACCAGGTGTCCAGAACAATTAATTGATCCACATACCAAGAAACCTAATTATTACATTTCATAACAGTAAGGATAAAACATCCTAAAAGCTCCTGGGGGAAAAAAAAATAAAACAGGTCCTACACAAAGGGATAACTCTCAGAATGGCAGCTTACTTGCTAATAATACGAGGAGCTGGAAGACAGCGGAGCCAGGGCTTCAGAATTCTAAGGGAAAAGAATTTCCAACCTAGAATTCTTTCTCATGCACTCTTACTCAGGATCCACCAAAGGGTAAACCAAGAAAGTGAATAACACAGAAATGGGAGATCCTATCCGATAGAGAAGCAAAGGAGATCCCGAGAACAATGGAAAAATCAATCAGAGTTTCAGATCTCACAGCTGTGCAGCAGGCCCAGAGTGGCTAAGCCAGATGGGAGTGGGTCAGAAGGCACCGGGAGGGACTTATTCACAAAGATAAAAGTGGAGAAAGAAAATCAGATGGACTTGAACCTAATTTATGCAACTGGAAAAATGTGGGAATGTATCAGTAAGACAGAGAGACAGAGACACTATTAAACAATAAGTATACCGGAAAAGAAAGAAAATTTACTATGTGAGTAGTATATACATAGTCATAATAATGAAAACATCAATTACTAATTTGAACAAAGTTATAATATAACCATACTGGGAGGATCGGGAGGAAGTGTGGATGCCTGTGGCAGACGGTAGAAAAAGAGGGGCAAGTTGCAGAAGTCAGTAAAAAATGGTCTAAAGCTGAAAAATCAAAATGTAGCATAAAAAGCATGCTAGGATCTGCAGTGATAGATACCAAAAGAATCAGCTAAGGGTCACAAGTGGTTGCCTCGAGGAGAGTGAGAGAGATATAGAAGGACTCCCTCTTTTTTGTAATAAGCTTAAGGGATTTTTTTTTTTTGAGACGCAGTTTCACTCTTGTTGTCAGGCTGGAGTGCAATGGGGCGATTCTCCTGCCTCAGCTTCCTGAGTTGATGGGAATACAGGCATGCACCACCACCCCGGCTAATTTTGTATTTTTAGTAGAGACAGGGTTTCTCCATGTTGGTCAGGCTGGTCTTGAACTCCCGACCTCAGGTGATCCACCCACCTCGGCCTCCCAAAGTGCTGGGATTACAGGCATGAGCCACCGCGCCCAGCCAACCTGTTTTATCTCTGCATCTCAGACGGAAATACAGACATGTCCACCTAACAAGTTGAGATCAACCCTATCAATGAAGGATTCTATGAAGCCAATTTTCCAGGCCAAGAACAGAAAATATCATGGTTCTCTGCTTTTCTGATCTCATGTTTCACCAATTATGCTACAAAAATCTTATGTTCCTCAATGACAGAAGCCCATTTTTACCAAGGACTGGGATCTATAAATAGGTAATTCTACTGTTTATAGTACACGAATGTACTAGTTCAGAGTATTTTATTGT